>NC_000006.12:7181212-7332727 GCF_000001405.40 Homo sapiens
GTTTCATAGTCTATCAGTGGGTCAGAAAATGGAGGTAATCAGCAGTGTGGCGGGAGGGTTCTTCTTTCCCTCCTAGGGTACGTTACCTGCTTTATACATATTTTTTAAGAAACAGGCTTTGATATGTCAATTTGAAATTTGTTTGTAACTCTGATAGCGTTGGCTTCTTAAATCTCTTATAAAATTCAGGCTCCCCATCAGAATCACTGTATTGCAGCAGTGGAGTTAAATGAAACCTGATGTTTCTCATCACTAGTTTTAGGTCTGGAACATTTGTGTAGTAGTGAATAAGCCTAGGTTCTTAGGAGGGTGCTGCAGGGCGGCAGCTTTCTGGGCTTTGTCATTGTTGGCTTGGCCTTTCCCACTCTGCCTAACCCAGATTAGGAAAGGTAGAGAAACCTGCCTCTCATGAGTTTGAGTCCTGTTGGTAGTGCACACTCAGAAAGGAGGCAAGGTTACTTCGTCCTTGGTATGCCAAGACTTGGTTTAAATGAAAGCTTCCATCACTCTGGGCGTGAATGTGGCCTTTAACTGGAGAAAGACAGCGTTGGATGTTTTTGACCTGAATTACAATTAGAGTAGCCATGGCCAGCGCCCCCTGGCAATGACAGAAGCCTAAACTTCCCCATGATCACATCAGCAATTTCCAATTTTCAGTTTTATAGCAGAGGCTTCTTAGAAGCTTAAACCCCTGTCCCAATGACGTCAAGTTCGCCCGCTGGCTTGGAAGGTTCAGACCTATCTTCCATCAACACCATGATGTCGGCGGTCATGAGTGTAGGGAAGGTCACAGAGAATGGCGGGAGCCCCCAGGGGATCAAGTCCCCCTCGAAGCCTCCAGGACCAAATCGGATTGGCAGAAGGAACCAGGTAAGTGTTCACACCTAGTGGTGACCTCTGGTGGGTTCAATCCATGAGAACATTGGGAGATGTTTCCGAGTTTCCTATGATAAAACCTTGGAAGAATTGGGAATAAAACGGACATACCCAGAGGCCTTGATCATTTTTCAAGGGCAAAATTTTTATGGCTTATGTTAGTTTCCTTTCATGGAGAAGGTTTTCTTTGCTGTGGTGTCGATGTTGGTGGAAGTGCCCTTATTTTTGGCCCCACCATTGGATTTTAACTCAAGCTTTCTTCACTTGATGGCCATGGCAGGGAACATCACTGATTTCTGTGATGTGGTTTGTTTCCTCATTCACACAGCTGGCTATTTTTAAGTATCTTCAGATTAGGTAGCAAATAAGTATTGCCTGTGCTAGGGCTGCCGTTCAGCTTTCTATCCTTGAAAAAGCACAGAATTTGGCTTCAGATAATTCCAGTTAAGATGCTGTTTAGTCATCTTGGATTTTCATTGGGCATCAGATCAGAACAGGGTAA
This sequence comes from Homo sapiens, assembly GCF_000001405.40. NCBI lineage: Eukaryota > Metazoa > Chordata > Mammalia > Primates > Hominidae > Homo > Homo sapiens. Next base: position 7,182,591 of record NC_000006.12, read on the forward strand.
AGTAAATAGGTGGAATTGAGAAGGGTTAATGCTGTTACAAAAGTTGATGTCTTCTCTGTTGGGAAATAAATGAATCTTCAATGTAAGATGGGACATTTCCTTGAAAAGTTGTTGCTGTCTTGGCAACATACTGTTGAACAGAAAGAAGGAAGGTGGTGGAAGGAGGCAGAGAGTGAATACTTCTCATTTCAACTCTGGATCCATGTAATACGAGTTGACTTCCTCGTGTTTAAAGTTTGGTTTAACTAATTTAATGAGACTATACTAAATCCTTGGAGAGAAGGTGGTCTTGCATTTGTCCAGGAACCAGCAATGGATGAGAAAGCAAACCTGCTGGGCTTTTGTAAACTAATTTTCTTTTTTTATAAATAATCCTACTGTGGCTGTCCTTATACAGAATTCTCTGAGTATTAATATGATGGTTTTCTATAAATTCTTAGAAGTAGAGCCTTAATTAAGGCTTTCGATACAACTTGCCCTACAAGAAAAGTTGTACCAGCCCCAAACCCTGCCAGCAGTATGGGGGAGGATGCATTTCTCCACACCTTGCTGAAGGATGGGGACTTGGCAGAGTTCAGTGATGTTTTAGGGTTGGAACATTGATTCCTTTCTCTCTCTCTTTTTTCCCTTTTCTCCTTGTGCCTCTCTTCCTGTGGGTGCCTGAGAAAATACTCAGCCTGTATGACTGTGGCCTGAGTCGAGAAGGAGTGCTAGCTCTGAGAAGAAAAGGTTTATTTCCACTCTCATGTGACTATCCATCTATCCATCTCTCCATCCATCAGCCCATTGGACAATATGTACCCAGTTCCTATATCCAGCTAGCTACTGTACCAGGTGCCAGGCATTTCGGGAAGAATAAGACAGACAAGGTTGTCGTCCTCATCCTTCTGCTCTACCAGGAACAAGTGAAGTGATAGGAAGAGCTTTTCCTCAAATAGCTCTGAGTTGTCCCAAGTCCAGCCTCCAGATCAGAGACCGTGGTTAGGGCCCTGGAGGATGCCCACAGCACCTCCCATGTTTGCATGCTAACTGGAGGCTGCCTCTTCAGGTGTGAGGAGGCAACTGTGCAGGTGGGGCAGGGCTGCCTTTCATCCCCCTCCTTTCTTCTCCAGGGATCTGGTATGCTGAGTTTGCTTTTGAAATGGAGGTCCTGGCCAGAGGTAGCCTGGTAAATACAGTTCTTAATCTAAAAAAACAAAACTCAGTGGGGAGAGAGTATGGGGAAGAAGGAAGCATTCTCCTTACCTGTGGACTAGACAGGGAGTGCTGAGAGACGGAGCCTGGGGAAAGTCCCATTGGTGTGAGCTTAGAGTTCCAGGAGAGATTAGCCACAGCCGGATGCTGACAAGGGTGCCAGATTGTTTCATTATGGAATGGTTAGTTATCACATTAGCTGCTAATTTTATCTTTCAGCTCAGGAGGTGTGCTCCTTCCACCAGCATGGCTGCAATAACTGGATTCAGAATTCTCCATTAGGGTGCTGGGCGTGGTGGCATGTCTCTAATCCCTGCTACTTGGGAGGCAGAGGTGGGAGGATTGCTTGAGCCCAGGGGTTCAAGGCCAGCCCGGGCAATATTATGAGACCTCCATGTCCTATAAAAAACAAAAACAGAATTCTCCAGGAGGGCCTCTCTTCCAGTATCACAGTGCTGTCTTTTCTAGTAGGTTCATTTTATTATTATTATTTTTTTTATTATTATTATGTTTTAAAATAGAGACAGGGTCTCTATTTCTCAACCAGAGCATGGTTGATTCCTAGTTTCATAAACTATACAGCTAATGTGTGTAAACTGTCTTAATTGCTGTGATATCTGGCTTTTTTTTTTTTTAATTATAAAAAAAACTTTTTGCAGAGACGAGGTTTCACTATGTTGCCCAGGCTGGTCTCAAACTCCTGGGCTCAAGCCATCCTCCCACCTCAGCCTCCCAAAGTGCTGGGATTACAGGTATGAGCCACCATGCTTGACATGGTTCATTTTAAAAGATTACATCTGGGTCTGTAGACCTCCTCCCATATAACTTGGATTTTGTGGACCTGTATGATGGCCTGCAGCACAGCACTGCCAGCCTCAGAGAAGGCTGGGGTGTCAGTTCATGAGTCACCCCAGAGTCAACACAAGTCAGCCCCACCAGCCGCACAGTGTGCCTGCTGTCTATTGCAAGGTGAATGCAAGATGATTTTTTAAACAAATTTGTCTCCCTGTGGCTGGTCACTTGGAGGCCTTTTTTTTTTTTTAAAACATGTATTTACATCCTATTGATGTATCACCATCCTGTTGGTAACTTTAAAAATTTTGTGTATGTAAAATTGCCTATCTACTAATTTGACAACAATACCCCGGAGGTGGAACTCATCCCCAACTTTTGGCCTGGCTGTGAGACATCCCTCCTTGTTATGTCTTACTTTGTTGCTGTTGCTTTTGTTTCTCCCCACACCCATGCCCCCATGGGGGTCCTTGGCCAGCTCTACTCCGACTGCAGTTGTAGAACTGGGCAGAGAAGGTATGACACCCCCTCCCCCATTATACCTCAGAAAGAACTAGAAGTATGATAAATGAGTACGACTGGGAATTTGTTTTTTCCACTATCTCTAGGATGTTCATGTTTTGTAGAATCCATATCCTTAATTCTTTTTGTGTGAAAATGTAGAGCATACCTAGTTCTCAGACCCAATTCCATAGATTAGAAAAAAGTTTTGGCCGGGCACGGTGGCTGATGCCTGTAATCCCAGCACTTCGGGAAGCTGAGGCGGGTGGATCACCTGAGGTCGGGAGTTTAAGACCAGCCTGGCCAACATGGCAAAACCCCGTCTCTACTAAAAATACAAAAATTAGCCAGGTGTGGTGGCGCACACCTGTAGTCCCACCTACTTGGGAGGTTGAGGCAGGAGAATCACTTGAACCCGGGAGGCGGAGGTTGCAGTGAGCCAAGATCGTGCCACTGTACTCCAGCCTGGGCAACAGAGTGAGACTCCATTTAAAAAAAAAAAGAAAAAGTTCCTATTGCTCAGAATGAGACTTGTTTGTCTTTGAAGAGGAGTGAGAGGGAAGGTGGCTGTGAGCTAGACATCATCATGCCTTCATTCCACCCGTCTGGTTTATGGCGCCATTTGCTTTTATAGTCTTCAGGGTGACTTTTATTTTCATCATCTCCCATAAGCAACCACAAGAGTGTTTCCTTTCCGTGCCTTGGGGTTAATCCTTTTGGTCAGACTTTATATAGAGCATAGTGGCTTAGGGCATGGGCTGTGGAGCAGCTGGCCTGGGTTTTAATGCTGTGCCTACCACTTAATAGTTCTCTGACTTGGGGCAGGTTACTTGCCTCTGTGTACCCCAGTTTCCGCATCCAGAAAATGGGATCCATAATAATGCTTGTCTATTAGTGGTTGTGAAAAAACCCTGATGGTTCTGTATAGAGTTTAGCACATGGTAAGTGTGCAGTAATTGGTGTTATTTGCAAGGAGCAGAAACTCATTCAAATGAATGCAAGTAAAAAGAGGTCTATTGAAAGATGCCCGAGGATAGGAAATGACCCAGAGCCTAGACAGAGCATCCAGCCCTAGGGACGGTGCCCTCCATCCCGTTGGGTTAACACTGACATCTTCCACACTGCTTTCTCCTGGCTTGGGCTTGCCGAGGTGCAAGCCTCCTTGGGTTCAGCCCTACCTCTCCATGAACTTTCAATTCAAGTGCTCATAATCACCCAACTTAGTAACTTAGCCATCCTCAAACCTGGGCACATATCACCATCATCTGGGGAGCTTGTGAGACAAACAGATTTCTGGGGTTCTACTCCCCCAACCCCAGTCCCCCAGTGACTCCGATGTGGCACGTCCAGAATCTGGTTAAATGCATAGAAACCAACCCCCCAGGTGATTCTGCTGATCTTCAGAAATCTCTGAGCATCCCAACTCCAAATTACTGGGAGAGGTATCCAAGCCTAGGTCCAGTTAGTTTTGGGTATTGAGACAGGAACCCGTGGTCTTAGGGACTGTGGGGGTGAGGAGTCAATGATGCACACAGCCTAGAACTCTGCATGAATTATTTGGAAAGAGGATCTGTAGCATAGGGTTAGTGAACGACATTGGCTTTTTCTGAAAAAGACAAAACATACTGCTTGACCTGTGCATTCTGAGGGAACATAAAAGGAGCCCCCTCACCAAGTAGTGAGCTGGTTCTTTTGTCACCTTCTGTGGAAGTCTTCAGTTTGGGTTGGCATTCCTATCAAAGTTGTCGTGATAAGGACAGCAATTTTCTCAGTGTGATGTTTTTGTTGAGTATTTATGAGCAGTGTTAAGCAGATGCTAGCAGTGGGCAGGGGCATGCCCACTGGGTGCACAGCTAGGCACTGAGGGCTTCCCTCTTTGTAGGGTGGGCTCTTCTGATGAGAACCTTGTTATCTCTCAGGTGTTCTTGGAGACCCTGAAACCTGTTGCAAAATAGCCCAGGCTGGACTTGGGGAGAAATGTATTCCTTTCTAGCTCTTCCGTGAGTCAATGCTTAATTTTTCACCATCACAGATTATTAAGTGGTGTCTGTGTAATTAGAATGCTAGTATTGATTGAGTACTGACTATGATCCCAGCACTGTTCTAGTGCTTGGCATGTGGTAATTTAACCTGCATCACAGCATGGTATGGTAGGTGGTACTGTTTTTCCCATCTTTCAAATGAGGAAACTGAGGCAGACAGGGCCGTGACTTGCACAAGCTTATACCTGGGCAGGTTCTGGAGCCCATGCTCTCAGCTACATAGACACAAGTGCTTATTACACTTATTACAGAAAGAAAAGGCACTTGTTGACTGTGAGTTGAAATTTATCTTCCCTTTTAATCTTTCTTTTTAGGAAACGAAAGAGGAGAAGTCTTCCTATAACTGCCCCCTGTGTGAGAAGATTTGCACTACCCAGCACCAGCTGACCATGCACATTCGCCAGGTAGATTCCCACTGTTCTTTTATTTTATTTTATTTTATTTTATTTTATTTTATTTTATTTTATTTTAGTCAAGTGCAGTAATGAGAAGAGGGGGAAGAGTAGAACAAGGAGTTAAACACTCACTGTGAGCAATCAGTTGAGATAACTCAGTACCTTCGGACCAGCCTATTTTTGATCTAAATTATTCTTCCTTAAGCACAGGGCAGGGTAATTGGATTTTAATGGATGAGCTGTAGCTGTGCCTAATTTAAATTTAGTTTTTTAAATAATTTTGGGAGGTGGTTATGAAATGACTTTTGTATATGCATATTCCTGTGACAAAGTCTTAGGTCAACACAGAATTCCTTTTTGGCTGGGTGCAGTGGCTCATGCCTGTAACCACAACACTTTGGGAGGCCAAGATAGGCGGATCACTTGAGATCAGGATTTGGAGACCAGCCTGGCCAACATGGTCCAGACCAGCCTGGCCAACCCATCTCTACCAAAAATGCAAAAATTAGCCAGGCATGGTGGCATGCACCTGTAATCCCAGTTACTTGGGAGGCTGAGACAGGAGAATCACTTGAACCCGGGAGCAGAGGTTGCAGTGACCCAAGATTGCGCCACTGCACTGCAGCCTGGGTGACAGACCGGGACTCTGTCTCAAAATAAATAAATCTCAAAATAAATAAATAAAATAAAATAGAATCGCTCCCCCCCACACGTGTGTGTGTGTGTGTGTGTGTGTGTGCGCGCGCGCACGTGTGTGACGGAGTCTCGTTCTGTCGCCCAGGCTGGAGTACAGTGGTGCGATCTCAGCTCACTGCAACCTCTGCCTCCTGAGTTCACGTGATTCTCCTGCCTTAGCTTCCCAAGTAGCTGGGATTACAGGCGCCCACCACCACGCCCAGCCAATTTTTTTATATTTTTAGTAGAGACGGGGTTTCAGCACGTTTATATTAGTATAAACGTACATAACACAGAAGGAAATCTACTCAGCTTGGGGTCTTTTTTTGCTTTTCTCCTTTATTATGAGATTTACCCTTCTTCTCCTGCTGTGGCCAATTCATGACAAAATATTGATGAGTGTAGAACAGTGAAGGATTGATGACCTAGTAAAATCATGACATAGTACTGAATTAACATCAAGTTACTAAAGTAACTCGGGTTTGAATAGAAATGTTCCTTTTTACCGTCTTTCAGAGGCCAAAACTCTACCCTGTGCAGGTTTCAGTTCTCTTTCTCTGACGGCAGGCCTGAGTCATCAAATCTGAAGAAGGGACGTTGACTCCTTTAATGGAAGGACATATTTCCTTCACTGTTGAGTGTCCTTCGGCTTGTAGGAGTTAATATATGTGGTCACTGAATCTGTATGTGGTTCAAAGCAAGACCTGGGAAGGCTCTACTTCTTTCTGAGCCTTTCAGTAGAAGTAGTTTTCAAAACAATGTGGGAATGGAGGAATATCATACAAAATATTTATTTGCCTGTTTTCCTGATACATTTTACCCCTTCAGAAAGATATTTAAAATGAAAGAGAAACACATAGCCAAGAAAGTTGATTGGTTTTTTTAATAAAGCTCTGGATCTGCATTTCCTAAGAGCTGAGCTTCTGATGCACTTTCTTAAGTGACCGCTGTGACCATTGCTTTCTGCAGCACAACACAGACACTGGAGGAGCCGACCACTCATGCAGCATCTGCGGAAAGTCACTGAGCTCGGCCAGCTCCCTCGATCGCCACATGCTGGTGCACTCTGGCGAGAGGCCTTACAAGTGCACTGTGTGTGGCCAGTCATTTACCACCAATGGGAACATGCACAGGTGGGTGAGGGCGCCCTTTGCTTGGGGGGTTGGCTGGTACTTGGAGGTTGGCAGGCAGGACAGTGGCCTCTGAGCCTTCAGAAGACTTGCCTAAAGGTACAGAGAGTTCTGGAGCTCTGTCCATTGTATGGAAAAACCAGAGATGCACACTATCTCTGGGGTATTAGAGGTGAAGTGCCTTGGCAAGGTCTGTGGCCCTTCAGAGTTCCTCAGGATGAAACACAGAGTCATTTCCCCTCTGCCAATTGGAGTTGGTTGTTTGTTTGGGTGCTAGAAGTGGGCAGATTATCACATGTAAGAGAGGAACTCTCCATGAGTAGCATCCACGTAACCCTGCCATTTAAAAAATATTTGCATATGCCTACCAGATTCCTGACAGACCTTTTCATTGCAAATAAAAACAAAAAGTCTGGGACCTTTTAATAAATAGTTAAGTGGACTGGTCCTGGAGCTTCAGGATAAGATAGGATAAAATTAAGAAAAAGAAAATCTGATAAACATCAGGACATTAATTCCTGAGAGAGAAAGATGCTCACTCAAGTGGGAGACAGTAGAGTGGTAGACATATTAAAATTGTTTGGGGTGAACCTATGGAAAATAGAGTTTATAGGCTGATCATACATGTTTTGAGGGGTTTACTTTTCCATATTCCTGTCCAGTCCTTATTCTGCTTTCTTTTAAAAAAGTTGAGTCACATTTGTTACATGTTTATTTCAAAAGAAAACTTTATATAACTACTATAAAATTGATATGCTAGTTATATTTGGTTATATAAACACTAAAATGAGTTGGACCAGTTTATTACACGTACACATGGGACATACTGATACAGCGGTTAAGTTTCTTGATTTGGGAACTAGGCACCTGAATTCAAGTCTCAACTGCTACTTGTAAATTTTCTATCCTCAAGCAAGTTACTTAACCTCTTTGTACTCCAGTTTCTCATCTTTAAAATGAGATTTTTTTTGTTTTATTATTTTCTTTCATGCTATTTTGACCCCCCAAAACGAGATTTTTAATCGTACCTACATCACTGGATAAGGCTGAGGATTCGGTGCTAATTAGTTTAGCACACAGTTCCTGGCACAAACTAAGCACTCAGTGTTTATTATTATTTGCGTTTCTAAGTAATGCTGCAGTAATTTAAAGCCAGTGTATATCTCAGTCTAAACTCTTAGAAGTGAGGTATAGTATGACTTCATGAAAAGTGAATATTTTAAGAATTTACAAAGTGTTTTGCTTTTTATTTTCTCATAAATTTCAGTCCTGATGGGTTATTCTCTTTGCCCCTCATCTCTTCCTGGGACTGTTTTTGGGTACAAAGGAATTGAATAGTGTTACTATTTTACAATACAATATTTTGCATTTTAGCTTTTTATTTTTTTACCACCATGTTGGCCTGTTGGTATCCTTTATTTTTGCCTTCTGTTTAGGTCTGCTCGTTCTACACCCCACACCCCCAAAAAGTCCTTTGTCCTTTACATATTTGCCCTTCTCAGAATCTGGTCCTAGAGGTATTGCCTGTTCCCCTCTTGGGGGTTCCATCACTTTTTCCTGCTGAGCCTCTGCTCAGTGGAACTCCCCATGGGCCAGCTCCAAGTTGGCAGGGGCAAGTGGGCACATTGGTAAAGAGGCCCCTCCTAGTGGCGTTTTGGCCCTAACCACTGACCACTGTGATCCTCCATGAGACATCTCTTGATGGTAGGCCCAATCACTCCTGATTCAGACATTTTCTATTTTGAGACATGATTGAAATAAACACAGCTATAAAAGGCGTAGTTATTGTCTTCTACAATAACCTGTGTGGCAGTGTGTTTTTACAAATAATCATTGCTGAAACTGTGGTGCTCTGGGTGTCATATCTGTATTACGTGAACACATGTCTGTATTCACTTTTCATTTTTTTTTTTTACATCTTACGGTATAATTCATACATCATACATTATACCGTGTAAAGTGTGCACTTCAGTGGGCTTCAGGTTCTTTTTTATTGTTAAATAATAGTTCATTGTAGAAATATGATACATTTTACTTATCCCTTGATCAGCTGATGGACATGTGGGTTGTTTCAACTTTTTGGTTATTACGAACAAAGCTGCTGTTGACATTGTTGTACGACATTTTGTGTGGGCCTGTGTTTTTATTTTTCTTGGTAGACACTTAGGAATGGAATTGCTGGGTCATATGGTAAATCCATGTTTAAGTCGAGGAATTGCCAAACTGTTGTTAAAACTTTCAATTTGGGGGTATTGCCATCATAACAATACTAACTCGATCTATGAACATGGGATGTTTTCCCATTTGTTAAGTCGTCCTGAATTTCTTTCAACGTCTCATAGTTTTCAGAGTACAAGTTTTATATCGGTTAAATTTATTTCTAAGTATTTTATTATTTTTGGCACTATTATAAGTAGAGTTTTCTAATTTAATTTTTCAGTTGTTCATGGCTAGTTAAAATTTATATATTGATTTTGTTCCCTCCAACCTTACCTCATTTATTCATTCTAGTAGTTACTTAGTGGATTCCTTATCCTATATCATGTCTGTTATTCATTTTCTCGCCTACTTGCCCTGGCTAGAACCTGCAAAACAATGTCAAATAGAAGTGAAGAGAATGAACATTCTTTTTTTGTTTGTGATCTTAAGGAGAAGGCATTCAGTCTTTCCCCATTAAATATGATGTTAGTTGTGGGTTTTTTAAATAAATGTTCCTTACCAGTTTGAGAAAGTTTCTTTCTTTTCCTAGTTTTTTGAGTGTTTTTATTATGAAAAGGTATTGGATTTTGTCAGATGATTTTTTTTTTTTTTTTTTTTTTTTTTTGCATCTATGGTTGGGTTGTTTTTGTCCTTTATTCTTTTGTTGTTGTTGTTGTTCGTTTGTTTTTTTTGAGATAGAGTCTCATTCTTTCACCCAGGTCAGAGTGCAGTGGCGTGATCTCGGCTCACGGCAACCTGCGCCTCCCGGTTTCAAGTGATTCTCCTGCCTCAGCCTCCCAGGTAGCTGGGACTACAGGCGTGCACCACCACTCCTGGCTAATTTTTGTATTGTTAGTAGAGATGGGGTTTTGCTATGTTGGCCAGGCTGGTCTTGAACTGCCGACCTCAAGTAATCCTTCTGCCTCAGCCTCCCAAAGTGCTGGGATTACAGGTGAGAGCCACCGCGCCTCACCCCAGATTTTGTTTCTTCTTGAGTCAGTTTCAACAATTTGTGTCTTTCTAGGAATTTTGGATATTTCATCAAGTGATATAATTGGTTGGCATACAATAACTCATAATATCCTTTTGTAATCCTTTTTATTCTGTAGTTAGTAATAATTTCCTTTCTTTCACTCCTAACTATAATAATTTGAATCTTCTTTTCTTCCCTTAGTCAATCTAGCTAAACATTTGTAAATTTTATTGATCTTTTCAAATAACCAACTTTTGGTTTCATTGATTTCCCTCTATTCTGTTCTCTGTTTCATTAAATTACTGTTCTAAACATTATTATTATCCGTTTTCTGCTTTCTTTAGGTTTAGTTTGACCTTTTTCCGGTGTTATAGCAAAGTATAAGGCTGGATTATTGACTTGAGAACTTTTTAAATACAGGCTTTTATAGCTATCCATTTTCGTATAAGCATTGCTTTAGTTGTTTCCCATAAGTTTTTGTATGTTGTGTTTTCTTTTTCATTCATCTCAGCATATTTTCTAATTTCCCTTGTGAGTTCTTCTTTGACCCATTGGTTATTTAGAAATGTGGTCTTCAGTTTTCACAAATTTGTGACTTCTCAAATTTCTTATTAATTTCTAGTTTCATTCCATTATGGTCGGGGAAATTCATTCTATTAATTTGTTACTGATTTCTAGTTTCGTTCCATTATAGTTGGAGAACATACTTTGCATGATTTCAAACTTTGTGAATGTACTGAGACTTGTTTTATCACCTAACATATGGTTTATCCTGGAGAGTGTTCCATCTGTTTGAGAAGAATGTGTATTCTGCTGTTGTTGGGTGGAGTGTTCTGTAGATTTGCTGTTGGGTCTAGTAGGTTTATAGCATTGTTCAAGTCTTCCATTTCCTTATTGATCTCCATTTATTTTTATGTACTCTGCCTTGTAAGGATTGTATAATTATTATCCCATTTTGCAAATGAGGAAAGGACTAAAGTAATAGACAGTGCTAAGATTTGAATAAAGGATATCTGGCTTCAGAGGCCATGCTTTTAACTACCACAGATTGAGTACCCCATATCCAAAATGCTTGGGACCAGAAGTGTTTGGGATTTTGATTTGTTGTTTTTTTGTTTTGTTTTGTTTTTTTGGAATATTTGCACATACATAATGAGGTATCTTGAGGATGGGACACAGATGCAGGTCTACACACAAAATTTATATATGTTTCATATACACCTTATACACATAGCCTGAACATAATTGTATGCAATATTTTTGATAACTTTGTGCATGAAACAAAATTTTGACTGGGACCCATCACATGAAGTAAGGTGTGGAATTTTCACTTGTGGCATCATGTCAGCACTCAAAAAGTTTTGAATATTGAAACATTTCAGATTTCAGATTTTCTGATTGGGACGCACAGACTGTATGTGAGAAATAATTGATGTAGCTTTTGTGTCACTTTGCATATTAGAAAAAAAGCACTCTTTCACTCTTTTCCTCATTCTCAACACAATTCTGTGCTGTTATAGAACGTTATTTTCAATGTTAAACTATTTCTGTCATCCCAGTAGCATATTCTATGTATAGTGAGCATGGGATAGTTTTGGGGGCAGCCATTTTGACTGAATTTTATTACTCTGTGTTGTTTGGGTTTACTTGGATAGTCTTAGAAATTATTTTGAATTTTTTATAGCATAGCCCTTGGTACTATTCTAAGATACATTTCTCATTTATGGTCATTGTATTTTGGAGTTGTTTATAAATATTTTTTTAAAAGCAGGCATTGGCCGGGTACAGTGGATCACACCTGTAATCTCAGCACTTTGGGAGGTTGAGGCAGGCCCATCACTTGAGGCCAGGAGTTTGAGACCAGCCTGGCCAACATAACAATATCATGTCTCTACTAAAAATACAAAAAATTAGCCGGGTGTGGTGATGTGTGCCTGTAGTCCCAGCTCCTCAGGAGGCTGAGGCACAAGAATCGCTTGAACCCAGGAGGTGGAAGTTGCAGTGAGCCGAGATCTTGCCACTGCACTCCAGCGTGGGGAACAGAAGAAAAGCAGGCCTTGGTGCTACTTGTTTGTGCTAATTGTTGGTTTTCTGGTACTGATTTTCCTTATTTTGAGGCACCTTGAATCAGAGGAGAGGACTAAATTGGGGCTAAGTTCTAATCTTAGTTCTGCAGAACTTTGTGGAAATCTCTTAAATTTTTGACACTTTAACAGAATGGCTTAGTATTACCTCATATTGAACTTGGGCTCAGATTTAATAATGTTTGTAAAAGGGTTCTGAAGGTTTACAGTGTACTATGGACATGCCCTAGGTAGAGGGAGTTTCTGAGTCTGTATTGTTAGAGCTGAAACCACCGTAATGACAATCTAAGGAAGTGTTCCACTACTAGCTGTGTGATCCCAGACAAGTTACCTGACACCTCTGTGTCCTAATTACTTCATCTGTAAAAGGTAGTATTATCCGTACCTACCGCATGGGAATGTTGTGATGATCAGTAAATACTACATGCAAAGCACTTGGGGTAGTGCTTGTTAAATGGTACATATCAGTAATGGTTACTACTCTTTTATTGTTGTATGTGCCAGAGAGGGAAAATATATTGAGTAAACATTCATATAATGCCAGAAAATAAATTGAGTAAATTGAGAGTGATTTCTTTTAAGTGTGCTTGTTTTACTTTTTGCTACACTTAATCTGTAATTTAAGTAATAATATATTTGAAATACTAGGGATTATCATACTACATTTATTATGTCTTTGCAGAAAGTTGCAAATAATGAGTTAAAAGAACATTTGGGTTTTGGTAAATCACATAAAAGTCATTACCATTTCATTTGTTAGCGAAACTGTACTTTTGAAAAAAATTATAAAAATGTGAGAACACTTACAAAAATGTGCCAGAGAGAATGGAGTTAGATTTATTTGCCCCGGTGGATCTGTTCCAGAATCTGAGACTCTAGTAGTGAGCTGTGATCTCTCCCAAGCACATACCTGTGGGCCTGTGTTACGTTAATCAGGGGCCAGAACTGCCCTGGGATGTGTGTGCAGGAATTAAAAAGAGTAATGCAACCCAGGTCCTGAGAAGTATGAAAGGAAATCAGTCGATCTGTGAGAGTTTAGTGCTTAAGATCAAAGTTCTTTTTCTTGTTTCCCTTCCGCTACCACTGCTTCCCAAGGTCTGTTGGCACCTGCTGGGATTGGGTAGTGCACAGGAATTCCCTCATGGGGTCTCCAGAGCCGATGCTAAGCTGAGGGATCAGAGAACCTCTGCCTCAGCTTCCCAGGACACCCACACCCAGGTGCCTCCGTTCCATCTTGTTTGTAACCCGTTTGAGGCCCTCCCTCAACTGTGCCAGTTTCATCTGACATGGCCCTGTGCTCTGATTTTTGACTCTTCCCCTGAGGGGCACAGATTGGGTGGGCCCTCTGCTGCGGCATGATTCTCTGTAGCGTGGATTTCTGGAGTTTCATTTCTCTGAAGGCTTGATTCCACAAGGCTGGTCTGTGCTCTGCTCCTCAACAGCACAGTTGACAACTACACAGCTTACCCTTCCCCCTCCTCCTGCTCACCCCCTGCTCTGAAGGCTGTCCACACGCACACGTGGGATGCACACCTCCGTGTGTGTGCACACTCTTCCAGATGAGCCCAGCCCTCCGGTGTTGCCTGCTTGAGGCAGATCTGGGCTCCACCCCAAAGTTCGTTGTTTTTTGGTTTTTTTTTTCGTTTTTTTTTTTTGTTTTTTTTTTTTTTTGCTGAAACACTCGGCCTCACAACACAGACTCTGAGGACTACATCCTTTCAAGTTTCAAGTTACTCTTAGCTGATATTGAGGTGCCTTTATAGAGCAACTCACTCTATTTCCTTTGGCCTGTGGTCATTTTATGAGTATTTGTTAGTTATCTGTATTTGTAATGCTACTCAGTCTTTTTGTAGAGTTTCCTTTATCTTAGTTTTATAAGAGGACACTCAGAATTGTTATATTGGTCAAATAAAGTAAACTTCACAGAATGAAGGTAGCATATTAAATTATGTGTAGTCATTGACAGTTGCTTTGTAGCACTGATAAAGCCTATAACTTACTATACTTTTTTCTAGTAAATAAATTTACTTGATCTTTTAAAAGTAATTATATTTTGGCAAGTAGGGAGATGAGAGTGATGCTAATTCCAACTTATTTTGAGAAAGGTTAGGATAAAGACCTTTTTAATTTATTACTTATATTATTTTAATTTATTTTGAGAAAGGTTAGGGTAAAGACCTTTTTAATTTATTACTATATCTGGTACAGCTTTGTGAGCTGCCACTTGCCTGTATGCAGATTCTCATGTGTTTGAGGTTTGAAAATCCTTTGTCCCAAGCCTTTCTAACCACAGCTCAGTTGCTGAGCAGAAGAGTAGGTTACCATCAAGTACAAAACATGTAGCACGGAAACATCACTGTGGATCCAGCTTTTAACTTCCCAGAACTCTTTATCAGTTGCTCCCACGTTGAAAATTTGGATTGAGTGGTGCTCGTCTTCCAAAACAAACTTGGGAAACTGAGCCAGAGCACGCCTCTGGGAGAGCTCAATGTAGGAAAAAGGGCATTGAGCTTTGCAGTTTGCAAAGCTTGTTCCAGGAAGTGCTGAGCTGCAAAGCTGTGAAGAAATGATACTTGAAACAGAGGATAGAAATGTGCCTCATTTGGAATAAAGCCTGTCTCTAAAACTGGTATTTTCCTTTTAAAATTGCCTTGGGAAAATAGGAAATTAATTTTCACTTTGCTCCTTATTTTACAGACTGTAGACTTTTAATTCTAAAGAGTTGTGGAGCATGTCTTACATTTAAGGGCATGCTTAAGACCCTGGCAGGGGCAAGCTTTCATGACTAACTTCACTGATTCTTTGAAGAGTAGGGATGTGTTCTGATTTCAGCTGTCATTAGAATGGTGAAGATGGGCCAGTACTTTGGGAGGCCAAGGTGAGTGGATCACTTGAGGACAGGAGTTTGAGAACAGCCTGGCCAACATGGCAAAACCCCATCTCTACTAAAAAAACAAAAATTAGCCAGATTACCCATAATCCCAGCTACTCAGGAAGTTGAGTTCACTTGAACTCATGAGGCGGAGGCTGCAGTGAGCTGAGATCACGCCGCTGCACTCCAGCCTGGGCAACAAAGCAAGACTTTGCCTCAAAAAGAAGGGTGAAGATGAAGAAGGGAAATCCTTGGAACATCATCTAGTTGTTTCGTTGCAGGCTTTTTTCCTGCAGCCATAGGCACGATTTTTTCTGTTGCCAAGTATGGGAGACATAGGCCCTGAGGATGCCCCTGGACATCAGGATAGGCTTCAGGAAGAGGCTTATATGTTCCTATTATGCTTGAAGAAAATATTAGCTGCGCAGAAATGTGACCTGCTCCATGACAAATGAGACCACGAAGGCTCTGAATTTAGCATGCTACTCTAAGATGCTTAGGCTAAGCCAGCCCTTGGCGCACAACTGCAGTTGGGTATCTGGAACAGGTGGCCAGTATTAAATGAGACAAGGAGCAGAGGTAGCACAGTGTCTCTGAAAGCAGGGGACAGTCACTTCTTTACCCTCAGTTCCCCGCAAGAGGAAGGGTCCTGTGAACTTCCATCATGGTCGTATCAAGTTTCTGAGGACACCCTGTATGTAGCTCGTTCTGGCGCTTGCTGCTTCTGAAGGGTGGAGGTGACCACTCAAAGGTTCAGTCAGTCCCATCTTAAAATTAATGTCATAATCACCAGGTCCCTGTCCCTCTTGACATATTCTTCTGCAGGAAGGAAAGTATCAGGACAGTTCACATGGGAATAAATTATATATTTATTTGTAGGATAAAAATCTGTGGGTCACCCTGCCCCGGACTGTGTGAATGTTTTGTTTCCCTTGAAATACTTCTATGGAAAAGAAAATCTTAAAAGCATTTCAGTTGTCTACATCCAAGGGGGAAGGACAAATCAAAAGCAAATGTCCTTCAGGGATGCTCAGAGATCTTAACACATTTAACTCCACTTAGAAGGACATAAATGTTCTGTGCAAAGACTGTTGAGGGGTTCGTGTAAATGTGATTTTAATGGGATATACGTAGTCAGCATAGTTGTATGAACTGTATATATCTCCTTATATATGTTGGGCGTTTAGTGAATATTTGGTACTGTAGTTTCATTATGATAATACTTGGGTATCAAAGCAGTTTTCAGCATATGTTAGTACTCTGAACACTAAAATAGACATACTTCTGGTATAATTTAGAAAGCTTTTCTTTAAGAAGGGCTGAAACTTCTCTTTTCAACCAGATTAAAAAAAAATATGTAAGTGTAATATCCCATTCCATGATCATTCCACTTAATATGCTTTTCACTCTTGAGAGTGCACCTTGGTAAGAGGCCCATAATCTTCCCTCCAGAGTGGAGATTTTCCACTAGATAAGACATGGAGAAAAAGAGCGGATATTTACAAATCTGTTTATTGCAGCAGAATGTCTGGGCTACCAGTTCCCCCCAGTAGCATTATTAAGCTTTCACCACATAAGCTTATTGATTGATTAAACAAATTTAGCCTTTCTTTACATCTCGTTGGCTGGATTTGAAACCTGGGTGCTTTTGTTTTTACTTCAGTAGTGGTTTAAAGAAGGGCGACATTTTCTTTGGTGCTTCTGAGTCCTCTGATAGCTCCGCCTAACTTTTCTGGCCAGGGCTGATAAAGGATACTCCCTGGAATGGTCAAGAGCCTCAATTTCTTCATCTTTAGTGGGGGTAACGTTTACTCACAAAATCCGTTAGAAGGATTAAATGCTGTAACATATACTCAAGCCTCTGGCTCACGTTAGGTGCTCAACAAATTGTAGTTCAAGGCCTTCCTTTCTCCTCTCCCTTAAGATATTTAACCCAGCAGTTCCTTATACATACTAGTTCAGCAGATGGATTTACTAAAGTGAGAAAATAGACTCCCAGCTTCTTAACAATTGGGGCAACGTAGACTGCATTCTAAGAACCCAAGAACCTGGTAACAGTGCTGTGTATCATGTGCTGAATTTCCATGGCCAAGTTGTGCAAATCCTTATTATTTGAACACTTGCCTTTTTTTCTTCTTTTTTGATTGCTTGTTCTATGATGTTTACATATATATGTGTGTGTGCTTGGGTTTTGTGTGTGTGTGTGATTTTTTTGTTTTGTTTTGTTTTGTTTTGAGACGGGGTCTCACTCTGTCTCCCAGGGTGGAGTGCAGTGGTGCCATCATAGCTCACTGCAACCTCAACCTCCCAGGCTCAAGCGATCCTCCCACCTTACCCTCCCGAGTAGCTGGGACTACAGGCACACTCCACCATGCCTGGCCTATTTTTATACTTTCTTAGTGTGGATTTGCATTAATACTATTAGATGAGATTCTGTGGTTCTTTCCAGAATTTTTACTTTGCATTTTAGAAATCTGTGAATAATCGAAAGCTGCCACTATCCTCTGAGAAAAAGGGTAGGCAAGTGTGATCTGTCACTGAATTTTATTCTTCAAATTAGATAAAAAGTGTAAGAAAATTATCAAAGCTAAAAGTTGGCCAATTTTAATTGACAGTCTCTTGTGTAGCCTGTTTTTTATTTGCTAGACTTGACCTTCCTCAAAACATTTTTCCCTTTTACTTTGTGTTTTTTTCTTTTCTAATACCCTTTAACAATCAGCACAGCTTATTTTATATATATGTGTGTGTGTATATATGTATGTATGTGTGTGTATATATATATATGTATGTGTGTATATGTGTGTGTGTGTGTGTGTGTGTGTGTGTGTGTGTGTATTTTTTTTTTTTTCTTTTTTGAGATGAGGTTTCACTCTTGTCGCCCAGGCTGGAGCGCAATGGCACAATCTCTGCCTCCTGGGTTCAAGCAATTCTCCTGCTTCAGCCTCCCGAGTAGCTGGGATAACAGGCATGCGCCACCATACCCAGCTAATTTTGTATTTTTAGTAGAGATGGGGTTTCACCATGTTGGCCAGGCGGGTCTCAAACTCCTGACCTCAGGTGATCCGACCACCTCAGCCTCCCAAAGTGCTGGGATTACAGGCGTGAGCCACCATGCCTGGCCTATTTTATATTTTTGAAGAAATATTTGAAAAACCTCTTGTGGCCGATGCTTACTTTTGATTTAGAATTTCTCTCTGAATTGAATTGACCAAGTTCATGTTCAGTTATGCCAAAGAGCATAACAATCATAAAACTGTCCAAGTGGACACTGTCCCCTCAGTGGACATGTTAAGCAACAATCAAGCCTTTTTCGTCCTATCACTGGTTCTCAAATTTATGATCTGGTTCATAATTAGTTTTTTATCATTTGGCCAACTGGATGCTAATATTTATAACTTAAGTTTTCTTCTGTTTTAGCAGAGTTGTTGTCAGTTTGTGTTTTGGAAAGGAAATGCAAAATAAATTTTATCTTTAATGCAAGCAGTACAGTATTTTTGACATATCTTGTTGAGGTATTTCAGCAGCTCAGTCTTACCGGGTAAAACTGGTGGATGGCAGCAGAATCTGGAACATCGTGCTTGCCCACACTTGAACAGCAGGCAGTGGTGAGAGTGAGAAATTAGGTTAGGGAAGGTTAGGGATGGGCTTGCTGGGGGTAGGATGACTAGCAGAGAGCTGGCCTCTGCTCCGGAATGCAACATGCCCAGGTGTCCTCTCCCACCATGCCCCTCGTCTGATGCACTGAGAACTTTGAACAGGTCCTGAGTGTGTGTCCGGTTTAGTTTCATAACTCGAAAGTAGCAAAGTCAAGAGGGAGCCTGACTTCCAGCATTAGATCACAAAATGAAACCTGCAGGGAGCTGGCAGCATTTCCACCGTAGCACTTCACAGGGCTTTATACCTTACATTTTTCCGCCTTTGTTTAAATATCCAACCTGTCCGACCTGTTCGGGCTGAACAAGCTGGTGCTAGCAAACACTGAAGCGTGCCCACTCACTGTCAACCTTTTTCTGATGTGTTAAGGAAGGTGATTAGTGGCAACATTGTCCCCCCCCCCCAACCCCCATCCCACCCTCCCCACTGAAACATGAACAGGAAGCACTGAAGTCTTAGCCTGTGTATTCATGACACGGATCCTCATCTCACCTTTGGCATGTCTGTGTGCCTGTGGGCCATCCTCAGCTTCTCTTGGGGCTCTGGGATGCTTAGTGGAAAGGTTGTTGGCCTTCAGTGGAGACAGATTTTGTATTTCCTTAAACCGGAGATTCAGTTGCATAATGGGTTCATTGGTCCTGTGGTGTCAGCACTTAATTCTTCCTTTTCATGCTTATATAACCCAGCTTGCTCAAGAGGACTGCTGTTCCAAGTTTATGGGTGGGAAAACTGAGGTCTGCCATGCTGCAGGTTCTTCTGGGGCCCTCCTCTCCAGTTTCTGTTGGTAGATGGTGTACTGTTCCTCCCTCGACATCTCTGGAGAACAGAGGCCATGTGTGCACCATGTCCATCCGTTTTAGATAAAAGTGGCTATAGACGGCCTTGGTCATACAGAAGGGCTCTGTCGCCTGGTTGGTCTTGGGAGGTGACATTTCTCTTTGGATTCATTTATATTCATTCTCTCTCCAATCTTGGTTCCCCTTTCCTTGCCAGCAGTTTCTCAGTGGCCCGTAAGTAATATAACACAACATCCCCAGAGTGGGTGGCTTTCCTTTTTCACTACGCTGCTTCTTGCACTCGCCCACGGCACCTTCCACTTCCCTTGTGGGCGCATGGCCGACCATCTGGGATGGCCCCACCCGTGCATTTCTTGTTCCTCTTTTGGAACTGGCTGAGGAGTAGCAGTGACTTAGCACTGCCCTATCATGAAGATAGTCATCTCTTCCTCCTGCACAGAAAGTGAGTAAGTAACTAGGTCCTGCCTTCTTGAAGACACCTCAAGTGATCGCCTTTCAAGCTGAAGTGGGAAATGGCCCGTGACTTCAGCACTTCCCTCCTCCTACAGAGCTTAGGTGTGGGGATTGGGGTGTATGATTTTAGTCGTTGCCCTGGGAAGCTGGTCTCTGGTGGCCGGCGATGGCTTCCCTCAGAGGGGACAGCTCTGGGCTCTTGAGATCACTTTGGGAATGATGACTTCAGTTGGGGCACCATCACCTCAGACTGTAATATGGGGATATTCAGCATCCCTGCTGGGAGAGGCCAGCCATGAGTGTGGGGATTTGGACCCCAGGCTGCATGTAAATGTTGAGGAAACTGAGGGAGGTTAGCCTGGGGAAGAAGAAGAGGCCATGGCAACACAGCAGCTGCCCTGAGGTATCTAAGGCCTGTCCGTGGGAAATGAGAGCCTTCCACTGATGTCTCTGGACTCACCCAGGAAGGTCCTAGCTGGCCGATTATAGCTCTATGTTAATGAGAGTTCTCTTTGGGTGAGAGGAACATCAATTCATCCAACTTCTGAGGTCTTTTGTTTGTTTTTAAGAATGTCTGACTTTGTATGGACATATTACTATGTATTTTTGTGGATTTTGTAAATAGATATGGGGACCAAATAACATGAAAATTTATTTTAGCAAAACACAAGCAGGCAAGGGAAAAAGACAAGCACAGGAGGATGTAGGGTGTTACTGATTCAAGGGTAGGGCAGTTAGGAATCATGTCTAGAGTAAAAGATTTTTAAAAGGTTAGTGCTGGTTCATGTGGACTGCCAACACCTCTCTACCCCCTACTGGATCTGAAAGTCAGGAGAGGAGGAAGGAGCTGTAGAAGCAGCAGAGAAGGGCCCTCAGTTTTCTAAGTAGACAGTCATTAGCAAGAGAATGTCATCCCTCAACCCTTGGCCCAGGAGTTTGAGGCTGCACTGAGCTAGGATTGCACCACTGCACTCTAGCCTGGGTGGTGCAGCAAGATTCTATTTCCAAAAAGAAAAGAATACATATCCTTCAGGCATTATAATTCTAGCTCAATGCATCATTAAGGAAGTATCTGTACCAAGAATGCAGAAGGGTCTTTACCCAGGACCAAGATAGAAAAGGAACTGCTCTCTCCAAATACTGCCAAGGAACCTGAGGTAGGAGAGCAGAGATGGTGGTCCAGCCTGGAGAACCATGACCCCATGCCTGGGTTTGGAGAGAAGCTCTGGGCTGATGAGCCGTGGAGATTGAGAGTCCACCAAAGCGTTTGCTTATAAGGAACATGAAAATGAACCCCTGGTACTCCTGGACTTCAAATTAAGATTCCTTAACTTCTGATAAAATTTAACTATCCTTATACTGGCTCCCTTGGAATACCATGCTACAGTCAACAGATGAGAGACGTTCTCTATTCTGGGGACGTATTGCCCTAGTATTGCAGGGAAAGTGGGGGCTTGTAGAAGACATCCATGCTGTGGAGCATGTGGTCTTTATAGACACCTCCCAGAATGGAGGCAGTAGGAATAAACGTCAGTATCAGCCGCAAAGCTTGACTTTGTCATGGCCTCTGTGGGCCATATTGCCCACATCAGAGACTGTGGGATCTAACTGGCCAGTGGTGGTGGCTGCAGTGTCCGGTGCATTTCACCAGGAGCATCCTGCGAGCCCTGGGAGCTGCCTGGCTGACGGCATTCCCACAGCGAGCCTACAGACTGTGGGTTTACACTTCATGCCAGGCTGACTTTAGATTTTTCTAAGGGCTGGCTTTGGAGGTCAGCACAGGTGCTTACGCATTGTCTAACCTTCCTCCACACCCTGGGAGAGCTGGTGTGACCTGCCTTCCGGACAAGCATGACTGAACCCATACAACACCTGAATTACTAGAAGGTGCCTCTGTACTTTACAGGTGGGGCCACACCAGGAATTGCTCAGTTGCCGCCTTGCTGTCCTCCCCCCGCCCCCTCCCTCTCTGTGTCTGCTCTCCATCCCCCATTTGTTTGCATAGAACTTGATTGGCATTACAAGCATCATCCACAGCCCTCCACACTGAACTCCTAGGCATTTGTTAGGAAAACATACACACATCTTTCTAGAATCATACTTTGGCCAGAAATGTAGGTTGTGCAGCTGTGGGGGTTCTTAATCTTATTCGTTCCCTCTTTGTTTATCACAAAGCTTTGTTGGACAAAAAAAAGCGAGCACCAGGTACGGATGGGGATGTCTCTATAACCAGGCTGCTAGACCCTGTTTGAACCTGTTGCCTCCAGCTTGGCAGGTCCTGGGCCGTGCTGTGTGTGCTTTGTATACAGTGTCCTGTGTCCTGACGGAGTGACTTTCCTTACGGTACCATTCACTCAGAGTATCAAAGAAGTTGGCTCCTTCATTAACAGTCCTAGGAGGAAATTGAGACTGAAAAGTTAGCAAATACTGGAAGTGTCTAGATTTCTCCTGAGGTTTAACCTTCACATGCAAATTACATACGGGGAGCTTGAAGAATGTCTGAGACCTGCTCTGAGGGCAGCTATGACTAAGTAATCTTTGGTTTGGATCACATTTAAACTTGTTGAGAGTTTCCCAAAGGATTTTGCCCCCAAAAGAATTTTAAGAATGTTAAATTTCCCAACTTTTTGGTTAAGCATTTATGCCTGGTAAACTGATGGAGAGACTGCTGGTATATTGGAAGATGAGTCTGGGAGATGTTTAATGCTGGTATCCAAAAAATGTCAGTGTCCTGGTCAAATGGTTGACCGAACCTGCAAACGGTGCAGAGAGCTGGAGAAGTTCACTGTGATCCCATGGTTCTCACACTTAAGCAGGCTTCAGTATCACCTGCAGGGCTTGTGCAAGCCAGACTGCTGGGCCCCGACCCAGCGCTACCAGTCTGCAGGCCTGGGATGGGACTCGGGGGTTTTTATTTGCATGAAGCTCCCAGGTGGTGCCCATGCTGCTGGTCAGAAGCCTACAGAGTGAACACTGGTGTTCTAGGAGACTGACAGGATTGTCCCCATTTTACCAGTGTGGAAACTGAAGCTGAGGTAGCCCAAGATTCTCTGGAGTCTCCGTAATTACTAGGTGGCAGAACAGAGATCACACGTCTCAAATGTGTCACTGCTCAGAGACCACCCAAAAGCTTCATTGCATCACATGGTCTCTGTCTACACCATCTTTCCACCCAGATTCCTGATTGCTGCTCAGAGCAAGCCAGTGCTTGGATAGCTAAGAGCTTTACCCCATTCCCAAATCTAATGACTTCCATGCCTAAGGAAGGTCCGCAGAAAGTTCCTGTATTTGGAACTGGAAAGGAGAACATTCAGGGAGGCAGGGAGGGAGGGTCAGCTTTTAGGGATTGGTCTGTCTCCCTGGAGTTATTGACCAGCCTTCAGCCCTTGCACAGGGTGTACTCTTTGGTTTAACTCTGATGTTTTCAATATTCTTACAGACAACCTACCCTGCTAAAATGGACCATCTCAAATTTTAGAAAGCAAATGATTACACTTGTGGGAGAAAAGCCATTTAAGTTGAAAATCAGCATCTACTCCTAGATTCAAAGTAGGCTCCAGTTGTGCCAAAAAGTGCTCAGATTTGGGGGTTTTTTCCACGTTTAAAAAACATCTGCTATATTTGTGTTCGTTCATCACTGTAAAAGCCTCTTTGGGTGTTATGAATAGGATAAAACTTCTCTTGACTCCAAAAGTTCTGATAAAATTCCTTCCTAAGACCACAGTGCGGTAGGATTCCTACTGTTAAAGTGTCATGCTTCCAAAAGAAAATTACAGAATTTTATGGAAAGGCAGAACTCTACTTGGATTTTATATTAACCTCTCTCTACAATGAGTGTAGGTATTGTTTTGAATGAACAAACATATGAATTCCAATACGAAAACATTAACACATGTCCTCAGTGTTCATTGTTGGAGTGTTTTCGATTGAAGTCCCTTCAGTGTGGCACTGTTCATAATCTCGTGTCATGTTTGCTCACACCAAATTCTAGCAAGGCAAGTTATAAGATGTCCTGGAACCTGAGCGTGTATGTCATAGTAATACTCTGAGTGAAGCAAACATTTTCTACATATACTTCATTCCTTCCTTCCTTCATTTGTCCATTCAGGAATTCAACAAATATTTATTTGTTTGTTCTTCCATCCAGCAATTTAGCAGATACTTACTGACCAACACCTATGTGCCACCAGGGCTCGTGCAGAGAACAACATAGACCAGGTTCTTGCTGTAATGGAACTTACTTTCAACTGAGGGTGAGGGGACAGTCAGACGAGTAAAATACATGATATCTTCAGCTACTGCTGTGTGCTGTGGAGGAAGGAACACTGAATTGTGGGTGTAAGAGCATCTGCACAAGTAGGGTGTGGGGCCTCAGGGAAGGCTTTGCAGGTGAGGCGCGTGGCACGAAACCTGGACGGCAGGAGCCAGGCTTGGGAAGGTCTGGGGTGCAGTTTTCCAGGCAGGAGCAGCAAGCATCTTGAGTCCCAGAGGCGGGAACTAGTTGGATGCATTTGAGGGACCCACAGGGGCTAGTCTGTCTGAAAGAGCTTTGGGATGGAAGAGGGCAGGGTGCTCCACTATTGAAGTCTAGCAGATAGGTGGAAGCCAGATTTATTTTAATTCTAAGAATGGGACTGTCAGAGGAATTTAAGCAGGGGAGTGGTATGATTGGTCCTGTGTTTTAGATGCTCAGTCTGGCTGCTGGATAGAAAATGGAAAATAAGAGAGCAAGAGGAAGAGCAGAGGGGCCAGCTTAAGATACTAAGACCAGCTGGTAGGAATTCCTGCCATTGCTAGTGTTTGTGCAATGTATCCATTGAAACATGAATCCTTATATATGGATCTTTGCACATTTGTTCAGTTATTAGACCTTAAGACAGATTTCTAGGAGTAGAATTACTGAGGCAAAGAGCATACATATTTAAAATTCATATCTCTAGTGCTCAGCCACTTTGCAGAAAGGCAGTCACTCATTTCTACTCTCACCAACGATGGGAGAGTACCAGTCTTCTGAACCACACCAACACCGCATATTGTTAATGTAAGACTTTCTCACCCTCGCCAGTCTGGAAGGTGAAAAGATGCACTGCTCAGGTGCAGAATGGAGGAGATGTGGTTTGATAGCAGTAAATGAAGGAATCGTGGGGATTGTGATTGACAACAAACTTGGTAGGAACTGAGGGTATAAACACACCCAATGGAACCCACCCAGGCTCCCTTTATGTACCTTCTGGAGGTCATAGTGCCAGCCATGTGCCCTGAGCTGTCAGATCACATCCAGACTGGAGTTTGCATCTGGATCCAGCATTTCATGAAGGATACCTGTACGCTGGAGAGCATTCCAAGGTTACTTAGGACCAGTATAATTCCACAGACTTGCAAGCAGAGCTTGAGGGGGGCTGTTCACTTTTGAAAAGAGAACGCATTACAGAAACGCAGTAGTCCTCTTACACTATTTGAAGAGCTGCCACGCAGATGAGAACATGGACTGATGTTATAACACAGCATCTCCCTTGAGGACAGATAGACAGAATTTCTGACTCAATGTGAGGGAGATGGTTTTAACAATTAGAACAGCCAGTGAAAATGGAGAAGTCCTTGTTGGTGGAAGTGTCCAAGCAGAACTAAATGGTGATGCCTCCAGTCTGCTGTGGAGAGGGACTTTCTATGCAGAGTAGAGGGCTGAATCCCATCCCAGCTCCCTTCCAGTTCATGGGCTCCTTGTCATTTATTGACTCTCAGGATGCGTGGAAATTAGACAAATTAGCCCTTGAAATCAACCCTGAGAGAAAGACAAGACCCAAGCCTTCTAAGGATTGGAATACTCTCTTTCCCACCACCCCTAATTTGTTTTGGCCACAGCTTGAGGGAAGGGGTCATTAGTGTCTCATCATGATGATCCTGGCTGCACTTCCTGTGAGCTTTTGGGAGGAAATGAACAGCTCCAGTTGCCACTCCTGTTGTTGGAGGCTAGGGAAGCAGAGCAGGGGTCAGAGCAGTGGGGAGAATCTCTCACTACATCAAATCCATCGTCAGACCTGGCCGGACCCCTCCAACCCTGCAGTTCACCCGTGGGCTGAATTGAGGTTGTCAGTGCAGCTTTTGCTCATCAAGCGGCTGGAAGGACAAAGCAGGAACTTCCCATGTTGTACCCGGTAGCTGGGGATTTCACCCTGAAATGGAGCGGTGCTTGTGCTTTTGCACCTGGGGCTCCGGGGCTCAGTGGGAGAACTGGAGTGAGCCGCTGTCTGTCAGACTGCCTTGGCCTGCTTTGGTCACTCTGCCACTTCTAGGAGTGATGCAGTTCAAGGGCAGCCCTGGTTTTCCAGACTAAGCCAGAGGCTCTGCAGTCCTTGAGCAAAACTGGAGGTGGGAATGTTCTATGCCTGAGCTGTGGGCTCCTCACCCTCTTCACTTTGGTAGTAACTGTGCCACCTTGGGCCACAGTCCACCAGAGAGGAAGTGTCCAGGTTCAGGTTATATCCTTAAGATTCCAGCTGGTGATCCAGAACAGAGTTAACTGACTGGCGTGGTCTTGGGAGATAGGCTGGGTTTGGGGGAAGAGCATGAGCTCAGAGTTGGTGCACATAGGTCGGCTCAAGCTCTGAGGCTATGGGCAGGTTGGCCTCCCTGCACCTCAGCTGCCACATCTGCAAAATGGAAATAATGATCTGTCTAAGGTTCCTACTAGGCCCTCAACTAAGTGTTGGCCCCAGTCCCTCCTTTATGAAAACAGCTTCTTTCATAAATCCCAAGAACAAAATAATTACCATTTTGTATTTCTATAAATATTGTGTCATATGATTCAAAAGATATAGCTTGAAATGGGCTCATGAACTGTTTACAGTTGTCAACCTCTAATTTTTAATATTCTCATATCAACTGTAGAAAAGGGCGTGGATTTTGTTAATTAAAATTAATTTTGAGTAATTTATTGAAAGGGCAGGTTTGATGCTAGTTTACATCTCTTATACTTTCTCAACTCTTAGATGCTTTCTTTAAAATGAGCATTTCTAAAATTGGAGTGTGAAAAACTTGCCAGCCTTTCTTTTTTGCTCCTAATGCTGATATTGAGGGATGGTGTCCTCAAATCATAATCACTTTGGAATAGAGGTGCTTAGAACAAAGCTACTTGTTCCCATTAACTTTCACAAGGCTTTAGGAGGCCAAGAACTAAATAATGGTTGTCTGTGATTCTTAATTATTATTCTATTTCTTTCCTTTTTTTTTTTTTTTTTTTGAGACCGGTTCTCAGTCTGTCTCCCAGGCTAGAGTGAAATGACATGGTCATAGCTGACTGCAGCCATGACCTCTTGAGAGCCAATACCGTGCCACTGCACTCCAGCCTGGGCGACAGAGCAAGACTCCATCTCAACAACAAAAAAGGAGAGTACAGCTAAAAAGAGAGCAGAACTTCTTTTCAGAAGGTTGACAGGATAGCTCATGAAAATTTTGCTGTCTTTCCCTACTCCTGAGAATTTCTCAAGCAAGATAATCCTATAGAATAGTTATTCATAAAAAGCTGTGGCTATGGTCCTAAATCTGGCACAGTTCAACCACGGCTACGTGATGAGGGTGATGATGATTGTCATTGGCAAAACTAAATCATTTTTATGTTGCAAAATTAGGAAATTAAAACTCACTATTCATTTGTAATGTCATTCGTTTCCTGTATATCTTGGGACCTTGTTCTTAGAATGTTTGTTTTAGAACTCAATAAAGTAAGGTCACTTAAGTTGAATAACCCATAAGACTCTCTTTTTGGAGTAGACATGCACATATTTTATGTAATACTTAACTATATGGGTAGCCTAGTCCTGTAGATATTAGAGTTACCACATGTAACTTTTTCATTCCACTGTCCGAGTTAACTCTTGTGATCTATAAATCCACATAATACTACGAACAACAGGGAACTGCTTTCAGGTCTTAAGCACTCTGGACATTTGCTCTGTTAGCATGTCTCAAATTTGACCACCAAAATGCTTCCAAAGCAGAAAAGAGAGATGTGTACAACAGATAGATGGGCAGTGGGTTCTTGGGGCAAGGATAGCATTATCACTTAGTTTATGAACTAGTGGAACAGTTTAGGTATCTGGGAATTCTTTATTCTATAGAATTCCATGTCCTAAAATGGTACTTTTTGTCTGCATGAGTGGAACAGGTCACCAGATAGTTTGTTTCATCTTGTTAATGTCAGTTAAGTTCATGAATGTCTTCCAGTGAACAGCAAGACATTAAGCAACGCTTTTGGACAGCACTTGTAAGAGCTTTAAGAGAGGTTCAAGGAGATTATAGAGTTTTAAAAAGATAGAAGTCACTGTATAAATTATACCTCATATCTCTTAACTAAAGAAAATTTAAGTACCAGTGCCTAAATATAAAATATTAAAAACATAAATGAACTGACTTCTTTGTTAGATCACATTGTGTGTGTGTTTGTTCTTTTCAGACATATGAAGATCCATGAGAAGGACCCTAACAGTGCCACAGCCACAGCCCCTCCATCTCCTCTGAAACGTAGGCGATTGTCCTCCAAGAGGAAACTGAGTCACGATGCCGAGTCAGAGAGAGAAGACCCAGCACCAGCTAAAAAGGTCCTCTTGGCTCCCAGTGCAGATTCACCTGCTCAGGGGACTTCTGTCAGAAATACCACTAATCTTTATTTTCTCAGTGTGGAGACTTGGCAGACATACATCCTAAGCTCTTAACGTGTGTTTTCCCATACTGTTTCTGTAAAGTGTCTAAGAAAAGAGTACCAGTGTGCACTTCCTCTTGAGCCCCTCTGCTGAGCCCAGAGATGAAATGAAGAGCTTTTACAATTGTTTCCATGCTTTCTACCTGTTTTTTCTAGCTAAAGCGCAAGCTTCATAAGCATTCGGGACTCTTTTGTCCTCACTTTTTTATTACCAGTGCCTGGCAGATACCCGGTGCTGCAAAAGTACTTGTCAGGTGGGTGGGAGGGTGGGTGGATGGATGGATGGACAGATGGATGGATGGATGGATGGATGGATGGATGGATGGATGGATGGATGGATGGTAGCGTTCTGGGAGTATTTGTTGTGTGAATGAATGAATGGTCAGGTCCTTAATAATCAGGATTGGATAATGCAACCCTTGCCTTTTATTATTGTAAATCTCTGAATTTAGCATTGGCCTCTCTTCCGAAGCCATCCCATGTGGGAGACCTTCATGACTTCACTTTTTTCCTTTTCCCTCAGATGGTAGAAGACGGGCAGTCAGGTGACTTGGAGAAGAAAGCTGATGAAGTCTTTCACTGCCCAGTATGTTTCAAGGAGTTTGTTTGCAAGTATGGACTGGAGACCCACATGGAGACCCATTCAGATAACCCACTAAGGTAGGAGAAAGAGTGAACTAGACCTTGTTCATTCCTGTTTCTCCTGGCATGTGACAATGTTCTTAAGTCCCGTTACTCCACACCGGGCTCCAGTGATTGAACTTGGGCACAACAACATTAGGGAGGCAGTTAAGAAAGTATCGGTGTGGGGAAAAAGTTGGCTGAGAGTTGTCAGAGGGTGGCTGTATCCACAGGGTGTTCACATGGTTCACTGTGCCTTCTTTCTCTCAGCAAAGCCCCTTGAGTAGTCACCAGTGAGCCCCTGAACACTGGGGAGTCTGCTATCATGGGTGTTCTTGGACAACAGATAGATTTTCTTCGCAAAAGATGTTGCAACTCAAATGACTATTAGCAATGCATGAATATGTGGCCCAAACAGGGACAGCCCACGTGTTGGATACCCCTGGCACAGCACTGGTCCATCATAGGCACTCCGAAGTGTTTGAACTGAGCTGGACCTGATAGCACAGAAACCTGAGAAGCCATTTTGGGGTCAGAGAAAGTTCTACTTAGTGCAGGACACTTGGCCAAAAATGGAACCTGATATGTTTCAATAAAAAAGTGACAGGTGATTGCTCTGCCATCCAGCTTCAATTGTAGGGGCTTCGCAGCTCCAGTGTTTCTGATCCTCAGCCTTGCCAGGCAGAAAACACGGGTAGTGACAGGACTTCCCACAAGAATTCAGGGGACTCATCTTTCTTTCTTTACCTTCTCTGATAACTCATCAGGCAACCGTTAGTTCTGTATTCTTGATGAGTTGATAGATTTGGAAGTTATTCCTAGAGAATTGCCACTTTAAAACTGTTAACTGCCAGAGATTTTAAGCATTGGAAAGAACAAAGAACTACTTAGGAACCCCTGTTGTCGTTGAGAGACTTGAAAGTAGCCCATCCTGGAAGTCACACACAGCTGCAGGGTCACGAGCACACAGCAGGGCCATACACGCGTGCAGCTTTGGGTTTTAGAAGACAGCTTGGGAATGCAGGAATTTGGGCATCTGTTTGCCTGAATCCCTGATATATGGACCAGATTTCCTTCTTGAAGACACATGTTTAGCTGTGACTTAGGAATGGGAAAGTCTGAGCAAGCTGAAGACTTATGTTATAGGGAAAATCCAAATTGTACAGTAACTTGATGCCAGGTCAAATATGATTATCCTTAATCACATTAGCCTGACATTTTTCCATTGGTGAGGGAAAAAGGAACTTACGAAGAATTTAAACTGCTGAACAATTGAAGTGCTATAAAATGTCTTTACGGAACTCCCCAGTCTCAAGAAATTGCCTGATCATTGGGTTGGGCACAGACTGGTTGTCAGGCCTAGACCCCACTCCTCCCTCTGCTCATACAGGACCTCAGCCAGCTACATCTGAACCTGTTTTCTCATCCTTCAAATTGAAGGAGGGCAGGACCAGATAATCCTTGTGTTCCTAAAACCTTATTTTTATTTATTTATTTATTTTTGGGTTTTTTTGAGAAAAGTTTTGCTTTGTCACCCAGGCTGGAGTACACTGGCGCAATCTTGGCTCACTGCAACCTCTGCCTCCTGGGTTCAAGTGATTCTCCTGCCTCAGCCTCCCGAGTAGCTGGGATTACAGGTGTGTACCACCACACCTGGCTAATTTTTTGTGTTTTTGGTAGAGATGGGGTTTCACCATTTTGGCCAGGCTTGTCTCAAACTCCTGACCTCTGGTGATCTGCCCCATCTTGGCCTCCTAAAGTGCTGGGATTATAGGCATGAACCACCATGCTCAGCCCCAAAGCCTGCCTCTTAACAGTTGTTTTATTCTGTCTACCAGGAAAAGGCATATGGCCCCTCCCTGTGTAGGCCCTCTAGTTCTGAGAGATTTGGGAAACTTCACAGGTTCAGGAATGTTCACAGCATCCCCAGGATGTGGGCTTGTGGTGGGTGGCAAATACTGAAATAGTTCTCTAGATCAAGGACCTGAGTGAGCAGAGATGACATTACCAGCTGAACCTCCCAAAGAGAATCATGAGCAGAGGCAGAAACAGCACAGGGGACCCCAGCTCCTGCTCACGTTCCTACCCAGCAGCCTTCAGAGCCAGTGCTGCAGTGAATACAGGCTGTCTCTGAGCCCGTCTGTATACTTCATCTCACTTCATATTTTATTCTGTGATCAGATACCACCTTAGAAACTATTATTTACCCCCTTCTAGATAATTCTGTTCTGCAGGAAAAATAATGTGGCTCCCACAAGAGATTTCTGAGCAGTCCAAGCCTGCATAGCATGGTGTGTGGCAGCGATAGAGGCAGATCAGGTGTCTCCTTCTGAAATGCTGACCTGGGTGAGGGACGAGGTTCTCCTGGAGCAATCCTCTGAACAAGGACCTGCTCCAGGGAGAGGCCAGGCTTCCTCTGCACAGAGGTTGGAGATGGGCATTGCACTGGACGCTCGTCATTTTTTTCATAGTTGGGATGGGTAGGATTTGGTGGGTGATTAATCCACAGTGATGGTAGGGCTGGTGCTGTAGACAGGCTGTGAAGTTGAACCCTCAGTCCTGCACGTCCAGCTAGCCGACCTAGAGGATTTTCCTCACCTGTTTACTAATAATGCCCTGTGTTTGGTGAGGGGTTGGCTTAACAATTTTGTAACCTGACAGGGACTTGGCCCCTCTGGGCAGGCTCTCACTTCGCTGGCCCCACAGCTGTGGCTGAGGGGTGGCCCGTAAGAAGAGAGTTGCCAGGCATCCTTTGTGGGGGCACACAGGCCACCCCTGCCCTGTGCCTCTATCTATAATTGTTGCTAGATGGGGTGGGGCTGGCATCTGGAAACCAAAAAGAGTTGATTACAGAACATGGTTAATGTCCCTTTGCTCCTCTCTGCTCTGCCGATCCCCATAATAGGCTGCTATCATAGGAGGCCTGGGGCAGCCTGCGCCAGCGGGGCCTAGCCAGGCGGTGAACTGGGACAGTAGCTAGTGGGAGAGACAGCTTGTTAACCCAGAACTAAAATAGACACCAGCTCCATTTCAAATCCCAGAGGCAGCAGAACCACAGTGGGATGCTACCCGCTTAGACTGAAGGTTTGTAACTCAAAACAGCTGTTGCCTTCTCACTCTCCTGCACTTATCCCCCTTCTCCACTCCCCACCAACACTGGCAAGGTGCCCATTGTTCCTTAATAAAAAGTGTTGGAAATCCAAACTCATATAAATCTCAACTCCATTTCCCTCCACTCCACTGTGTTTCAAATGAATGAAGTGTTGTCGTAGAACAAAAGGAAGACACAAAGCTGCCTGTAGAGATGCCAGCTCTTAGGATCAGGTGTTAGCTTCACCCTGACATGACCAATGGTCAGTCATCCCCCTTCCCCCAGGGCTCCCCAGATGAGGGAGAGAAGGCAGAGGAGGAAGCGGAGTCAGGCTATGGCGAGCTGGCGTTTGGAATCGGAGGTGAGGGACGGAGTGTTCAAGAGAGCAGGCGGCTACACAGAGGACATCCTTTGTGTGAGGATGTTGCTGGGCATTGAATGTCCATCAGAATAGAACTGAGCAACTGGCCATACCCTGCTGTGAATGAAGTCAGCTGGGAGAAGCATCCAGGTCAGCCCGGCCAGCAAGAGAATCTGGGCCACGCACGTCCTTGGAATTTTCTAGTAGCCGTTTTTTATTTCATTTCATTTCATTTTGAGGATCTCGTTCTGTCACCCAGGCTGGTGTCCAGTGACATGATTATGACTCACTGCACCTTGACCTCCCAGGCTTTTAAGTGACCCTTCCACCTCAGCCTCCCAAGTAGCTGGAACCACAGGCATGTGCCGTCACATGCAGCTAATTTTTTTGTATATTTTGCAGAGACAGAGTCTCCCTTTGTTGCCCAGGCTGGTCTTGAACTCCTGGGCTCAAGTGATCTGCCCACCTTAGCCTCCCAAAGTGCTGGGATTGTAGGCGTGAGCCACCCTGCCTGGCCCTAGTAGTCATGTTTTAAAAAGTAAAAAGAAAGAGACAAAATGAATAATGCTTCATCGAGTATACCAGTATCATCAAAATATAATGTCAACACATAATCAATAGAAAAATGGTGAGTGATGTGGTTCACATTCTTGCTTCCATGTACTGACTCTTTGAAATCTGGTGTGTGTGACGTGACCCCAGCCCGTCTTGGCTGCACCACACCAGCCACATTTCAGGTGCTTAACAGCCCACAGAGAGGTTTCAGATGAGCCACCTACGGCAGGGAGGGCTGCAGCTTTGACGCGGAGCCATGTCTTGTGTGTGAAGAAGGCCCAAGGGCGGCAGCTGGATGGTCACCCTGTTGGCACAGCCACTGCTGAGGGTGAAACTCGGCCAAAGTTATTGTGTAATCTTAGATGGCCCCCTGATGAAAGGAGTTCGGGTAATAAGTAACGTTAACATCATTTCAGTTAAAATGTACCCAGCAAATGATTGAGTTTGTACTGTGTGCCAGGCACTTGCCCAGGCTTGAAGGAAAGAGTGATGTTTGAGACAGGGTACGGGCTAGGCACAAAACAAGCTGGTTGGTTATAAAACAAAGTTCAGGGGTGAGTTCAGGGCCCAGGAGGGCACATTTCCCTCAGATTCCAGGCAGGCAGAGGGATCTGGTGGATGCAAAACTTCTCCTTGGGATTTTACATCAGAGGCTGTGGTGCTTCACTTAATTTCCTCTGGGTCAGGGCCCAACCGGGTCTGGTACTTCATTGACCCTGGTCATCTCTGAGTTCAAGGTGATGACATTAAATCTCTGTTGGGAATTGGTACATAGGGAGCCCAAGGGGGCTCTGACAGGAACCTCGGCTCCATGAGTAGTGAGGGCAGCTGAGACCACCCCCTTCCTGTATCTTAGTAGTGGGGCCACCAAAGGGAAATGCCTTCTTTTTCCTGCATTCTCCACTGTTCCAAGGAATGTTTATCTCCCTTCACCACACGCCTACCACCTACAGAGACCCCAAGACTCCTCATGTACCCGGGATTGATCCCACCCTTGTCAAATGTCATCCTAAAAACAGGGAAAAGATAAAATATTTGTCAGCATCTTCTGTTGAAGAGTCTGTGAGTCTGAGGCTTGGGCAGGCAGAAACAGATTTTAAACACTTCCGGGGGCTATGAACAGAGGTCCCTCAAGGAGGGGAAGACTGCCCCCACCCCTCACCTGACAGGTACAGAAGCCTTGGTCAGGACTACCCTGTCCCCCACCCAAGGCCCAGAGCAAGGAGTGGCCCACCCAGCTTCGGTAGCCACTACACACCCTTTGTGAAGTCCCTCAGACTCTGCCCAGTGCTTCACGCCACGCTGGTTTGGTTGAACAGTCAGAGCGGGGCATTGGGTTGCTGTGTGCAGCCTGGGCGGGTTCCTGGGTCATGGGGAGGGACGGCTGCCTGGCCAGGGCCCTGTCACAGGGCCATCACTGTTGCTCGCAGCAACTGGGAGAGATTAGTGCAGCTGTCGGATGTCAGTTCTCTGCCCCGAGATGGGCAGGGGAGGGTGGGCTGAGGAGAGAAGAATGTGTGAGTTGGTTGGGACTCTAGAGGAGAGGTTGTTTGCACTTACTCCTTCTGGCCTCTGGAGACAGAACAGGAAAAATGAAGCATGAAATCCCTTTTGAGAAGGAATGCCAGTCTCTCCATTAAAACACAATAATGAGGAAGGAATTCAGTATCTGAAGGAAATGGTCAAGCTGAGTGGCAGCTTCTCGGCAGGTATTTCGCAGGTTCTTCTGATGAGGGTTGCAGGGAGCAGGGAGTGTCAGCATTAGGAAATGCTCCCAGCTGAGCCAGCGTCCAGGCATTAAGGATGTGTGGGTCACATAAGGAGCCAGGGCATCTGCAAATAGCTGTCCTCTGAACGCACAGCCTGGCAGAGTGGAACGAAGCCAGCCGGCTCCGTCCCAGCCTGCCGCCTGGCAGCTCTGTGACCTCGGGCAAGTGCTGACTTGGTTTCCCTATCTGGAAAATAGATTTGAAGGCTGTTGTGAGGATGAAGGGAGATAATCCACAATCCTCAGAGTGTAACAAATACTAAATGAAATTTTTCTTCTGATACTATTATTTAGAATGTATTTTTTATATAAAATTTTATATAAAATTAAAATTTTTAGATATTTTAAACCTTCCAACATTTACAGTTATAGGTGTTGTGGCACTCTATGGCTATCCCATTCCAATGGAATTGAAAAGGAGTCAACTTCCAGGTGCGATTCACTTGGCAGAGAACATGAAAGCAATTTGTCCTTTACTCTTATAAACAGCTGTTTTTATCTAGTTTTCGCTTTTGTAAAGATTGGGAAATGGAGTGGCTCTTTAAATTTGGTTTGAGTCTTGCTTCCCACGTTTCTTAATCCCACTGTGTGAAAAGCAGATATTTAGAAACGTGAAGGAACTCGACACCTTTATGTAACAGAACAACACATCACTTTCTTTAGATTGTTGGGGGAACCCTAGGGTTCTAAGGAAGTGAGTTTCCTGATGTTTGAAATTTGCCAATGCAGCCTTTCAAAAATATGCTTAGCATAGTTTAAAAAAAAGAAAATTCACCCTTCTTGCTGATTGTGAGGAGGTCAGATATCTGTCCCTCAGCTGTCACAATGGTAGACTTGATGGAGTTACATGACAGAGAAGAGAGCCCAAGGAAGCACCTGAGTGGTTTCTCATCTCTGGGCCACTCTGTTAAGGCCTGTTTGTTGACTTTGGGATTTTCATCTTATTCTGGAGAGTTAAGGTCGCCAGATGAATAAAATACTACTGTTAGTGAGCACTGGGGGAGCTAATCCCAAAACTGTTTAGCCACAAGGTTAAGAAGTTAAAAAAAAAAAAGAGACTTTTGGTGTCCTTGTTTTCCATTTCTGTAAATCACATTGCTGATAAATTTGCCTTTGGGCATGCACCCTGCCCATTTTAGGTACTAGGCTCAGTTACTGGCTACAGATTGCAGATTCCCTTTTCAGGGCTGATGCTTTTAACAGTGATAGTTATTCCTGATAAGTACCTTAACTCTGCTGTGAGGTATCAAAACTGCTGGATCTATTTTTGGCTGCCTCTTTACCATTACTCCCTCTAGAGAATGTCCATACCATAACAACATATTTACATATTTATCACACTGCATTTCTATCCCAGCTCAGAATTGTGCAACTTTCTTTAAAAAAAAAAAAAAAAAAAAAAGGATATCCTGTCTTCTTCCAAGGACATTTGCTGTCAGAAGAACAGATATCTGTGCCCTGCCTAAATAGGCAGACTGTGTAGCACAGACAGCCATTAATTCAATGCTTTTTAAAATTTTAGGGCCTCACGGTGGCTCATGTCTGTAATCTCAGTACTTTGGGAGGCCGAAGCAAGGGGATCGCTTGAGGTGAGGAGTTGGAGACCCGTCTGGCCAACACGGCGAAACTCCATCTCTACTAAAATACAAAAAAAAAAAAAAAAAAAAAAAAAAAAAAAGCCAGGCACGGTGTCTCAGGCCTGTAATCCCAGCTACTGGGGAGGCTGAGGCATGAGAATCGCATGAATCCGGGAAGTAGAGGTTGCAGTGAGCTGAGATCGCACCACTGCACTCCCTCCTGGCTGACCGAGTGAGACGCTGTTTCTAAAATAATAAAAATAAAATAAAATTTTAATTTACTTTTGTTTTCTTAAGACTTAGTGAATCTGAGTGTGAATAAGAACATTATTTGTTGTATTAAAGTCCCTTGAGGATTGAAAGGACAAAACCCCAGCTAGCAACTGAGTGTATTTTCTTGACCTGTTGGAGCTGGTTGGTCCCACCCCTCGCCCTATGTACCTCCTGCCTTTGGTGACTCAGGCACGTGGTCAGGCAGTGGCTGGCGGGTTGGGTCTCTGTGACTTCAGGACAGCGTGGAGTTCACCAGCTCGTGTGGGAGTCAGACTTCTCTGACCATGTTAGCGCTGTGCCCTTTCCAGCCCAGCAAGGGTCAGAGCCAGTATGCTGTGGGATTTGGCTTGTCTGTTTGATTTTTGGAAAAGGGACAGTAAGGGCTGTGACAGTGCCTGTGTAGTCACTGACAACCACAGGCACTTCTCTAAGCACATATCAGAGACTCTCTGTGATCGTGGTTCCCGGCCCCTGGTGTTGGCAGCCACCTTCCTGCCATCTGTGCCTTTACATACCAGGGGCCATGTAGAAAGAGCTTACCTTATGACCTGGGAGTCGTCTTCCTCCACTGGGACCCCCAGCCCTTCTCTCTACTTCACCCTACCCAGTGCCGCCAGGGACATTACAGTTGATACTAAGGGAGGAAGGAAGGGATGGAGGATAAGTGCAGGCAGCTGCTTCACCTCTGCTGTTCCAGGGAGCCCCAATTCCACACACCCCAACACCACAGCCCCCTCCTACCATCTACCCTGAGAACTGCTAGAGCCCCTCCACCCCATAATAGGAACCTCCACAGTGGAGCAGCCCCACTGGAGGCAGGACCCACAGTTCAGCGACTGGCGTGTCATACAGGGGGTGGGGAATGGTCCAATCTACTCCAGCACTCTAAAGTTTCTTATCCTCTTACAGAAACACTGGCCAACGTGTGCTAGAATGCAGGTGTTTTCTGGGTGAAACAGGCTCTTGTGCACTGTCTTGGTACAGAAACACTTATTTCTGTGAGCAGTGATTTGGAGTTCACATATGCTAAGCAGCTCCTGTAAGTTGAGGTCAGGCTGAATGTCCATTTTGGATTCCGTGTGTAATCTAACCTTAATCTGTCATTTGGAGATTTTTCCACTGATGATTTTTTTTTTCTTCCTAAAAGTAATGTAGTGTGATTTTAAAAGAAAAAGAAAGTTTTGTTTTTGAAAGGGTCAGTGGGGTTTTGTTAATTTTCTTTAAATTCTACAAAGAGATACACTTCCCCCAAATACATTTACTTTACTGACAGCAAAGTTAGTTTCCATTTGGAAAAGTTATCCTGTTTCCAACATCGAGTTATCTCTGTTGCCAGAAAATCAAAAGGCAGCCAATCCGATTTGTAAACCTTTCCTCTGGCACATTGTCAAGATCTCTTGCAAAACGAAATTGTCCTACAGCCCTCCCCTCTCCTGTGGCTCTAAGTGCAGTTCTGCCCCATCTAAATATTAATATTTTGCAATCGTGCTCTTTATGAGCCCCTGGCAGAGTGGAGATACGCCACAGACGGGTTGAGGAGAGAGTCGTGGGGACCACCTGGCCAGTGGCTGTGGTCTTAATGGAGATTGACAAGCCCAAAGGAGGTTTGCAAATACCCTGATGCCTGCAGCCGGCTTTGCATCCAGCAGCTCCCTCCACAGATTTACAGTGGCCTCTATTGTCCTTGAAGAGCTGCTTAGAAACAAGGTTGCAAAGCTTTCTCCTTGGGGCCTTGGGAAGGCTGGATGAACCCTCGCGTCTCCACCTGATAGGGCTGATCCAAGTGTTTCTGGGTGGTGGTTTTCCACACTGGTTTTATTTAAGGTCTATCAACAGGTGCTGAGTGTGAGGCAGGGAGGCAAGTGTTTTTCTTTTTTTTTTTTTGAGACGGAGTCTCGCTCTGTCGCCCAGGCCGGACTGCGGACTGCAGTGGCGCAATCTCGGCTCACTGCAAGCTCCGCTTCCCGGGTTCACGCCATTCTCCTGCCTCAGCCTCCCGAGTAGCTGGGACTACAGGCGCCCGCCACTGCGCCCGGCTAATTTTTTGTATTTTTTTTTAGTAGAGACGGGGTTTCACCTTGTTAGCCAGGATGGTCTCGATCTCCTGACCTCATGATCCACCCGCCTCGGCCTCCCAAAGTGCTGGGATTACAGGCGTGAGCCACCGCGCCCGGCCGCAAGTGTTTTTCTGTGGGTGTTTCTTCCTTTTAACCAGCTGCACCACATGCTTCTGGTTTCAAAGCAGAAATTTCTTCTCTGCCACTTTCATGTTTTATGTCTTTTGACTTATAGGAGTGCCTTAGTTGAAATTCCATGAAAAGGGTGTGAAGTGTGGATCACCTTGCTTAGACTCTGTTAGGAGGTTGAGTGCTTGTGCAGGCTGGGAGAGCATGCACTTCTTTTCAGGAGGCAGGTGAAGGGAGCAGGTGGGATGAGGCAGAAGACTGGCCAGAAAGAACACTTTTCTCCCCATGAGTTTTGCAGTTAGACAGAAGTAGTAAGGACGATTGTGAAGTTCTTGAAAGTGAGAAGAGAGAACATGTTCCTTTGAAATTAAAACTCAGGTTTTCCTGATTTTTCACGTTAGCTAAAACGTGCCAGGAAACGGGCTTTTCCTGATTTCTTTTTTTCCCTAGTACAATAACATAATGACTAAATTTGGAAAAGTACTTTGCAGTTTTCAAAGCACTTTGTTATTCACAGTAACTGCAGAGATCCCCCCGTTTTAGATGAGAAGGGAAACTGAGGTGTGAAGAAGGAAAGGAACAGGAGAGAAGTGACAAAGATGAGTAAAGTATTGGTAATTTCTTTTCTCTGGGAGTTCTAACATTCTAACAGGCTTGTAGTTTAAGACGTTTCTAGATAGCAGATTCTCACACCTAACTCACTATATTTTCCAAACTTATCTAACTATAAGAATCCGCTGGTGTGCTTGTTCATATACAGATTCTTAGGCCCATCTTCTAGTTATTCTGATTTCAGTTGGTCTGGGGTGATCTAGGAGTCTGCTTTTTTTAACAAGGTCATGTGGGGATTCTTATCTCTTGGCATGTTTGGGAAATTTTACATAGCCGGCAGCTGAAGTGCACATGGAAATAAGTTGTCCAAGGTCACGCAATCTGAACTCCCTGATCCCCACCTGGTGTCTCTGGTCCCTGAGCCCACATCCCCCTACCACCCACTGTTCCACAGCTGCCTTCCCAGGGACACAGAGTTTGTGATCAATACTGAATAATTCTGCCACGTCTTTATTGTCATGCCTTCATCACCTACTACGTATGAAGGTGTCCAGAAACAGGAGGGATTTAAGGGTGAGGGAGAGAATGAAGAAGACAGACACAGGCATAAGAGACAAAAAGAAACCTCAATGTTATTAAAAATTCAAGCCAGGTGTAGGGGTGCACACCTGTAGCCCTAGTTACTAGGGAGGCTGAGACGGGAGGATTGCTTGAGCCCAAGAGTTCAAGGCCAGTCTGGGCAACATAGCGAGCCTGCCTCAAAAAAGAAAAAAAAATCACTACAACCATAGAGGTGCAGTAAATTCTAAATCTAATTGCCATATTAAGAGGCATTCATTCTCCATTCCCTTCATAAAACCTACTTATTAATGCCAGTCACACTAAATATTCATAACCAATAGGCTGTGCACTAGTACAGAAGTCTCAAAAGTGGAGAGTAGCCAAGCACAGTGGCTCACACCTGTAATCCCAACACTTTGGGAGGCCAATTCAGGAGCATTGCTTGAGCCCAGGAGTTCGAGACCAGCCTAGGCAACATGGTGACACCATGTCTCTACAAAAAATTTTAAAAATTAGCCAGGCATAGTGGCACATGCCTATAGTCCCAGCTATGAAGGGAGGCTGAGGTGGGAGGATCACTTGCGCCCAGGAGTTCAAGGCTGCAATGAGCTATGATCATGCCACTGCACTGCAGCCTGGGCGACAGAGCAAGACTCTCTTTTTAAAAAAAAAAAAAAAAAAAAAAGGCCGGGCACGATGGCTCACGCCTGTAATCCCAGCAGTTTGGGAGGCCGAGGCGGGCAGATCAGCTGAGGTCAGGAGTTCAAGGCCAGCCTGGCCAACATGGAGAAACCCCGTCTCTACTAAAACACAAAAATTAGCTGGGCGTGGTGGCGCATGCCTGTAATCCTAGCTACTCAGGAGGCTGAAGCGGGAGAATCACTTGAACCGGGGAAGCAGAGGTTGCGGTGAACCAAGATTGCGCCATTGCACTCCAGCCTGGGCAACAAAACAAAACTCTTGTCTCAAAAAAAAAAAAAAGGTGAAGAGTATTCAGGAAGATCTCTAGGATACAAGGAAAAAAATATATTTTTTATCTCACCCTTTTAAAATGTCTATTTGGTAATGTGCCTGGCACATTACATATATGCAAATACATATGTACATAAATACATATACTACCTACGTACACACATACACATTCTCAGCTAAACAACAAACACATGTGGAGCACATACGAAAACTTTTTTATAGAAGCGGTACACATTTCAGAAAGTTTGCAGCCACCTCTCAGTCCTACCTGCCTGCCTTTTGCAGTTGACTTGTATGCTACGAAAAGTCTCTTCCCAACCTGTTTATGTCTGTAATACTTGTAATAATTTCTTATAATTTAATTAAATTTTATATAAGCTGATGGAATGTTGTTTTAATAAAAGAAAAGAATAGTCTCTGTGGAAACTTATGTTGGAAAGGCTTAGTTACAGTGCAGATTGGACAGAATATTTTTTTTTTAGTTGCTGTCAAATTTAGGCTAGGTAAGATACCTGTGCACAGTTGAATGCCATAATCGTAAAAATCTAGGATTCTGCTTTAGTTTGGCTTGCAAAATTCTGGTATAATAAACTCGATGTACCCTTATCCAGTTTCAGGGATTATCAACTCACAGCCAATTTTGTTTTCTCTCTTCCCCAACCCAGGTAATTTCAAAACAAATCCCAGATATCCTATGTTTTATTTATAAATATTGCATTATATATCTTTTTTTAAAAGGAACCTTTTTAAAAAGCATAGCCAAAATATTATCATAACTAAAAAATTCAGTCACTTGTGAATATATCAAATATCTCTGATCAGAGTTAGATTTTCCCAATTCAGACATATCTCTTATCCTTTCAGTCCAATATAGATCTTTCAGCCAAGTGGTGGCGAGGTGATGGATTGGCGACCATGGGGAGGGTGCAATTGAACTTGAGCATGGGGGAAATGAAGTGGGGGTGGGAGAAGGAAGGAGCTCTATCTCCAGGACAGAGGCTGTTGTTGCCTCCAAGGGTCACTGTCCTCTCTGTGTGCACAGCTCAGAGCTTGAACGTATTTCAGCCAGAAAGAACCTCACCCAGAGGGGCTGTGTCCATTCTGCTTCCCCGCAGGATCTGTCTCATGGCCTGTGATTTAGACCGCTGGGTACTTTGACATCTGGGCCCGCAGTGTGAGGACTTCCAGCCCCTAAAGGTGTTCTTCATTATCCAGATCTGTCCCTTCCCTGGGCCTTGACCACAGTGGTGAGCTCAGCAGAATTCCCTCAAAAGGAACTCTGTGTTTTGAGTGGCTCATGGGAACCCGGGTTTGGGGTTCCAAAGGTAGCTGAGCAGTGACAGGAGAGT
This sequence comes from Homo sapiens, assembly GCF_000001405.40. NCBI lineage: Eukaryota > Metazoa > Chordata > Mammalia > Primates > Hominidae > Homo > Homo sapiens. The sequence continues at coordinate 7,224,916 of NC_000006.12, forward strand.
GCTCAGGAGAGGCCCTTCCTGAACAGGGGAGCCAGGGGAGGAGCATGCACAGCAGGACCGGGTTCTGCTGTGCCCGCTACAGCGCGATAAGGCAAGCAGGGCGGCACATACTGGCACTTCTTCCTTTCAGTGCTTCCTGAAAGTGAGCACAGCTGCTTCGTGGCTGACTTCGTTATCTCTTTATTTCCAGAGAAGACTCTCAACTCAAAAAAGTTTTCACTGATGTACATGCAGTGTGGACGTAAGCAAGTGGCTTTGCCTGGCTAAAACAGTGATAAAAGGAGCTACCTTAGCGGTGGTGAGGGTCAGATACGCTTGCACACATAAATACATGGAATGATGCTCGGTATACAGCATTGTCCAACAGAATATCCTGTGATCTTGGAAACATACTGTGTCTGTGCTTCCCGATGCAGTTGAGCCCTTAAAAGAAGGCTGAAGTGACTGAGGAACTTTAATTTAAATTTGAATAGCTACATGTGGCTTTGGTGGCTACTACATTCCATGCAAGTCTAGGGGATGTTGATAATACCATAACGATGGTATTTTGTTTTTATCCACCCATCTGCACACTGATGTAAAATTTTTAATATGGTTCTCAGTGAAGACCTAGAAGACAATACTGGTCTGAAAAGCAGAGACAATATTATAAAGTGGTGTTTGCTATGCATCTGTGTGGCCCAGAACATTTAGGATGTCAAAGATCATCTCTGAAATGAAGGGTCAGATTTTGAAGTGGACTGCCTCTGTGGGAGTCTTTCAAGGAAGGGGAGACAGCCTTGTGATAAGCATGGGTGGGAGCAGGAACTCAGGCTGACATTTTGTGTGTGCTTCTTACTGGCTGTGGGGCCTGAGTCACATCGCTTCGTATTTTTGATCACCGGTGTTCATCTGGAAGATGAGGGTCATGATACGCACCTGCCTGCTGGGGTTGTCATATGTGCTGAGCTGTCAGGGCGCCTGGGCTCAGTCCATGAGGACCATGGTTATCATTCAGATAATGATGATGCTAATACCACAACTTAATGCACAATCACCATCACTTCTAATTAGATTGGAAAATTTAATAATTTTTATCCCTATCAGATGCCAAGGATGCTGATTGATTGCCCTAGATACTACTTAAATGTATGCTCTTCTGACTTTTAAACATTTACAATAATTAGAATCCAGTGAACTCAGGGAGAGAGAAACCTCTGACATGATCCCATTAATGCCTGATCGAGGCGAGAGCGAGCAGGTCGGCCATGGTGGCTTCAGGATCCCAGCTGTCTTCTTGTGCTCAGACTGTGGGTGTTTAGGTCGTACGTACACCTTGTGCTGCCTGCAAAGATTTGGTATCCAGAAGTTGATAGAATACAACTTTTTTAAAAGGAAGAGGTTTTTGGTGCTAACCATGCAGCCTGGCTTCTTGACATCATATCATTTTTATTTTACTCAATTGAAATGAATCAACAAAAACTTAAGTCTGGAAGAGTGGAAACTCTGACTTAACTGCTTCCTCATATGCTCTCCCTTTCTGCCTCATATGTTCTCCCTTTCCTCTCCTAGATGTGACATTTGTTGTGTCACCTTTCGAACACATCGAGGACTGCTGCGTCACAACGCGCTTGTCCACAAACAACTTCCCAGGGATGCAATGGGCAGACCTTTCATACAGAACAACCCTTCAATTCCTGCTGGCTTCCACGACTTAGGATTCACGGACTTCTCCTGTAGGAAGTTTCCTCGCATTTCTCAGGTATTCTGATCAGCCCATGGAAGCAACCAGCAACTGCCTTCCATGGTCCACACAGTTAGACCATGGGAACTTCCTCTCCTCAGGGTTTCTTTCCTTAAAATGTCGGTTGGGCTTTGTCTTTTTTTGTAACACCTTTTTTCTTAAAATTATTGTTGGCCCTTTCGGTCTCCCTTGGGTTGTTGGGTTGAGAAGGCTGCATAGGCTTGTTTGGGGTTGAATATCCTATGAACTGTGCATCAGTCTAGCTCTTCTGTGCCTTTTGTCCGTTCTTGGGTCTTTGAGGTTTAAGTTGTCAGTTGTAGACCAGGCCCCAGTGGCTCACACCTGTAACGCCAGCACTTTGTGAGGCCAAGGCAGGAAGATCATTTGAGGTCAGGAGGTTGAGACCTGCCTGGACAGCACAGCAAGACTTTATCTCTACAAAAAATTTAAAAATTAGCCAGGCGTGGTGGTGTGCACCTAGTAGTCCCAGCTACTTGGGAGGCTGAGGTGGGAGGATCACTTGAGCCCAGGAGGTTGAGGCTGCATTGAGCCATGATCGTGCCACTGCACTCCAGCGTGGGTGGCAGAGAGAGATTGCCTCAAAAATAAAATAAAATTTTAGGGCCGGGCGTGGTGGCTCATGCCTCTAATCCCAGAACTTTGGGAGGCCAAGGCAGTCGGATCATGAGGTCAGGAGTTCAAGACCAGCCTGACCAACATGGTGAAACCCTGTCTACACTAAAAATACAAAAATTAGCCAGGCGTGGTAGCATGCACCTGTAATCCCAGCTACTCGGGAGGCTGAGGCAGAAGAATCGCTTGAACCCGGGAGGCTGAGGTTGCAGTGAGTCGAGATCGCGCCACTGCACTCCAGCCTGGGCAACAGAGCGAGACTCCGTCTAAGAAAAAAAAAATTTTTTTTTTAAATAAAATAAAAGTGGTGAATTGTAAAACACCCCAGTCCTATGATAATCGGAATTCGTGGGATTTTAAAAAAAAATCTTTCTTTACTATCTGCATTGCAGCTAAATATTCCAGCGTTGTGGTTTCTATTAAAAACAATTTGGGTCATTATTGACCTGAATAAGAAAAGAGCCATATATATTCACTGCTAATAAAGCACCTGCTAAAACTACTTTGAAACTGGCTGGGCACAATGGCTCATACCTGTAACTCCAGCACTTTGGGAGGCCAAGGCAAGTGGAACACTTGAGGCCAGGAGTTCAAGACCAGCCTGGCCAACACAGTGAAACCCCGTCTCTACTAAAAGTATAAAAAATTAGCTGGGCATAGTGGCACATGCCTATAATCCCAGCTGCTGGGGAGGCTGAGGCATGACAATCTCTTGAACCCGGGAGGTGGAGGTCGCAGTGAACCCAGATCATGCCTGGGTGACAGAGCGAGACTCAGTCTCAAAAATAAATAAATAAAACTAAAACTGCCTTGAAATTATTTTTTTCCCCATTTTAAAAAGTTGAGATAGAAGGTATCAACAGTGTTGTTGTTCAAGTGTACAAGGTACAAACTCAATGGATTGTTCCATATACACACACCCATGTGTGTGCACCCCCCAGGAGACATTCCTCATAGACCCTCCTAGGCAGCATCCCCCTTCCACAATCATAGAGGGGTAGGGTAGCTGATTCTCCAACATCTCTGGACCTCAGTTTTGCAAGGCACCCACTTTTACAAAGAGAATTAATTCTACCCTTGTGGTATTGTTACTTAACTATACTTCAGAATCTCTAGTGAGATACCCTGTGGGTTGATATCAGTTATCACGCAAACATGATTCTTAAGATGCTTTGTGGATTTCCTTATTCAGTCCAGTGTGTTAGCAAGCAGGAGAAGGTCAACTTTTTTTTTTTTTTTTTTTTTTTTTTAAGGCAGAGTCTTGTTCTGTTGCCCAGGCTAAAGTGCAGTGTGGCATAATCATGTGTCACTTCAGACTCAACCTCCTTAAGCTCAGGTGCTTTTCCTGCCTTAGCCTCCCAATAGCTAGGACACAGGCATGTACCACCACATCTGGCTAATTTTCTTATTTTTTTTTATAGAGACAAGGTCTTGCTATGTTGCCCAGGCTAGTCACAAACTCCTGGCCTCAAGTGATCCTCCCGCCTCAGTCTCTGGAGTAGCTGGGACTAGAGGCATGAGCCAACACACCTGGCTAATTTTTTTTTATTTTTTGTAGAGATACGGGATCTTGCTATATTGCCCAGGCTGGGAACTCTTTATGTTATGGGGAAAGGCTGTGTACTGGGATAAATGTACAACAAATACTTTGTGCATCTCCGTTTAGTGATTATTTTTTCAATCTTCACATGTGTTCCCTTGCTTTTACCGGTGGGTTCTATATAGGCCTGGTGCGAAACAAACCTGCGGAGGTGCATCAGCGAGCAACACCGTTTTGTCTGCGACACCTGTGACAAGGCGTTCCCCATGCTCTGCTCACTGGCTCTGCACAAGCAGACCCATGTGGCGGCAGACCAGGGTCAAGAAAAGCCGCAGGCCACGCCCCTGCCTGGTGACGCCCTGGACCAGAAGGGCTTCCTGGCCTTGCTTGGCCTGCAGCACACCAAAGACGTCAGGCCTGCCCCCGCCGAGGAGCCCCTGCCGGATGACAACCAGGCAATTCAGCTCCAGACACTCAAGTGTCAGCTACCTCAGGACCCCGGCTGCACCAACCTGCTGAGCCTGTCACCTTTCGAAGCTGCTTCCCTAGGCGGTTCTCTCACAGTTCTCCCCGCGACCAAGGACAGCATAAAGCACCTGTCCCTGCAGCCCTTCCAGAAGGGCTTCATCATCCAGCCTGACAGCAGCATTGTGGTCAAGCCCATCTCTGGCGAGTCGGCCATCGAGCTGGCAGACATCCAGCAAATTCTGAAGATGGCAGCCTCGGCTCCCCCTCAGATCAGTCTTCCGCCCTTCTCCAAGGCCCCTGCCGCCCCACTGCAGGCGATCTTCAAGCACATGCCCCCTCTGAAGCCAAAGCCCCTGGTCACACCACGGACGGTGGTGGCCACCTCCACGCCCCCGCCTCTCATCAACGCCCAGCAGGCTTCCCCGGGCTGTATCAGCCCCAGCCTGCCGCCACCGCCCCTGAAGCTCCTCAAAGGCTCAGTGGAGGCGGCCTCCAACGCCCACCTGCTGCAGTCCAAGTCCGGGACCCAGCCCCACGCGGCCACGCGGCTCTCCCTGCAGCAGCCGCGGGCGGAGCTGCCGGGCCAGCCTGAGATGAAGACGCAGCTGGAGCAGGACAGCATCATCGAGGCCCTGCTGCCGCTGAGCATGGAGGCCAAGATCAAGCAGGAGATCACAGAGGGGGAACTCAAGGCCTTCATGACAGCGCCCGGCGGCAAGAAGACGCCCGCCATGCGCAAGGTGCTCTACCCCTGCCGCTTCTGCAACCAGGTGTTTGCCTTCTCGGGGGTCTTGCGTGCCCACGTGCGCTCCCACCTGGGCATCTCGCCATACCAGTGCAACATCTGCGACTACATCGCCGCCGACAAGGCCGCGCTCATCCGCCACCTGCGCACGCACAGTGGGGAGCGGCCCTACATTTGCAAGATCTGCCACTACCCCTTCACTGTCAAAGCCAACTGCGAGCGGCACCTGCGCAAGAAGCACCTCAAGGCCACCCGCAAGGATATCGAGAAGAACATCGAGTATGTGAGTAGCAGCGCGGCCGAGCTGGTGGACGCCTTCTGCGCCCCGGACACCGTGTGCCGGCTGTGCGGCGAGGACCTCAAGCACTATCGTGCCCTGCGCATCCACATGCGCACGCACTGCGGCCGCGGCCTGGGCGGGGGCCACAAGGGCCGCAAGCCCTTCGAGTGCAAGGAGTGCAGCGCCGCGTTCGCGGCCAAGCGCAACTGCATCCACCACATCCTCAAGCAGCACCTGCACGTGCCCGAGCAGGACATCGAGAGCTACGTGCTGGCCGCCGACGGCCTGGGCCCCGCAGAGGCGCCGGCCGCTGAGGCGTCGGGGCGCGGGGAGGACAGTGGCTGCGCTGCCCTTGGTGACTGCAAGCCCCTCACTGCCTTCCTGGAACCCCAGAACGGCTTTCTTCACAGGGGCCCCACCCAGCCTCCACCTCCCCATGTCTCGATCAAGTTGGAGCCCGCCAGTAGCTTTGCGGTGGACTTCAATGAGCCCCTGGACTTCTCGCAGAAGGGCCTGGCCCTGGTCCAAGTGAAGCAGGAAAACATCTCCTTTCTGAGCCCTTCTTCCCTGGTCCCCTATGACTGCTCCATGGAGCCCATCGACCTGTCCATCCCCAAGAACTTCAGGAAAGGGGACAAGGATTTGGCCACTCCCAGCGAAGCCAAGAAGCCTGAGGAGGAGGCGGGGAGCAGCGAGCAGCCCTCTCCCTGCCCAGCACCCGGCCCTTCTCTTCCTGTAACTTTGGGGCCCAGCGGAATCCTGGAAAGCCCCATGGCCCCTGCTCCGGCGGCCACCCCGGAACCCCCAGCACAGCCCCTGCAGGGCCCTGTTCAGCTGGCGGTCCCAATCTACTCCTCAGCCCTGGTCAGCAGCCCTCCACTCGTGGGCAGCTCAGCCCTCCTGAGTGGCACAGCCTTGCTGCGTCCACTGCGGCCCAAGCCCCCGCTGCTTTTGCCAAAGCCCCCCGTGACAGAAGAGCTGCCCCCGCTGGCCTCCATTGCCCAGATCATCTCATCTGTATCCTCGGCCCCCACCCTGCTGAAAACCAAGGTGGCGGACCCAGGGCCCGCAAGCACTGGCAGTAACACCACGGCTTCAGACAGCTTAGGAGGTTCTGTCCCCAAAGCCGCCACCACCGCCACCCCCGCTGCCACCACCAGCCCAAAAGAGTCTAGTGAGCCTCCCGCTCCAGCCAGCAGCCCAGAGGCTGCCTCTCCCACCGAGCAGGGCCCAGCGGGCACGTCGAAGAAGAGGGGCCGGAAAAGGGGGATGAGGAGCCGACCCCGCGCCAACAGCGGCGGGGTGGACCTGGACTCCAGCGGGGAGTTTGCCAGCATCGAGAAGATGCTGGCCACCACAGACACCAACAAGTTCAGTCCGTTTCTGCAGACAGCGGAGGACAACACTCAGGATGAGGTGGCCGGAGCCCCTGCCGACCACCATGGGCCCAGTGATGAAGAGCAGGGCAGTCCCCCAGAAGACAAGCTGCTGAGGGCCAAGCGGAACTCGTACACCAACTGCCTGCAGAAGATCACCTGTCCCCACTGTCCCCGGGTTTTCCCTTGGGCCAGCTCCCTACAGAGGCACATGCTCACACACACTGGTAAGAGGGCCACCGGGCTCCCAGGCAGTGAGTCCTACTTCCTGGTAGGGGGAGCCACGAGTGGGGGTCAAAAGCGAGACCCATCTCCCACAGTTCCAGTTATTCCTAGCTTGGCTTCTTCCCCGGTCTCCGAAGCCCCGAGCTTGTCTGGTGGTGCTGTATTTCCTATGTGCTCTCAGTACCCACATGGCCTTTGTGCAGGGGCCGAGCCCTCCAAGGGCAGCATTCTACTAAGTGTTCATCCGGGGCGTTTTGAGGTGAAAGTGGTCACAGGCCCTCAGATCACTCATGGCGTCGCCTCATCCCTTCCGGAGGTGGTAGCCAGATTATCTGCTGGGTTAAACAGGGAGGCGGCTCCACAGACGTGAGACTTTGTATTAAGGTATTGGGGCATAATGAGCTCGGTGCTTTGACATTCCATTCCAGTGTCCTCAATGCAGCTTTTTAAATTTTGACAATTTTGTGAAGTTTTTTTGGATGCCATGTCTTCTTAAAGAGAAATATGACAAATTGTGAGGTTGGCTGTTTTCTTTCAGTTCACTAAGGCAGTCACATCTTCCCCTGTTGATTGTGAAAATCAGCAATGAGTGGTGGTAGAATGTTTTAAAATTTCTGTTTATACTACAATTGTAAGCCTTTCTGAGAAACTTCTCTCAGAAGGGCCTGGCGCTGGTCCAGGTGAAGCAGGAAAACAACTCCTTCCTGAGCCCTTCTTCCTTAGCCCCCTACGACTGCTCCATGGAGCCCATCAACCTGTCCATCCCCAAGAACTCACACCCAAGTGTGAAAAAATTCTAAGTAACAAACTTAAATTGTCAAAGTGATACCCCAAAAGTATCTTCCTTTTTTCTTTTTCTTTTTTTTTTTTTTTTTTAAATAAAAGAGTCTCACTATATTGCTCTCAAACTTCTGGGCTCAAGCAGTTTTCTTGCCTCTTCCTCCCAAAGTGCTGGGATCACAGGCATGAGCCCCCACACCTGGCCCCAAAAGTATTTTTCTTTTTTTGAGACGGAGTCTCGCTCTGTTACCCAGGCTGGAGTGGAGTAGTATGATCTCAGCTCACTGCAACCTCTGCCTCCCTGGTTCAAGCAATTCTCCCTGCCTCAGCCTCCCAAGTAGCTGAGATTACAGGCATGCGCCACCATGCCCAGCTAATTTTTGTATTTTTAGTAGAGATGGGGTTTCACCATGTTGGCCAGACTGGTCTCAAACTCCTGACCTCAGGTGATCTGCCCACCTTGGCCTCTCAAAGTGCTGGGATTACAGGCGTGAGTCACTGCACCTGGCCTGCCCAAAAATATTTTTCAAATGTTAGTTTCTAGAAGCTGATTTTTAAAGAGAAGTTTAGGATAGGAATATACTTTAAATAATTTTGTTATCAGGTGCTTCTAGTATATAAATGGCCATACAACTCTCATCTGAATTATAATTTTCTAAATTTTCTCAGTGAACAGTCTCAGTATTCAGTGATTTGTGTTATTGAACTAAGCGCAAATTAGTGAGATCCTATCTTTTTGGAGTTTACAACCAAAATATTAATAAATAGATAGGGCCTAAAACCAAATGGTACTGGATTGGTGAATAAAATACAGAACACCAGTTAAACTTGAATTTCAGATAGACAACAAATAATTTTTAGTATAAGTATTTTTATGTAGTTCTTGGGATTTACTAAAAAATTATTTGTTTATCCAAAATTCAAATTTAGCTCTGGGCATCCTGGGTTTTTTTTGTGGGTTTTTCTTTTTGCGCTAAATATGGTAACCCAAGGTAGTCAGGAGGTTTATGACAGGATGTTGAGGGTGGGTTGTGGGAATTGGTGTGAGCTGTGCTCTGTGTCCAGGTGGAAATGCATTCACAAAGCTTTGGAGAAGCTCGTGGAAGGATGTTTCTCCTAGATGAGGTGGAACAGCAGGAGGGAGGTCATGGAGCCACCGCTGGATACCTGAACAGTGTGCAGAATGGAGCCTGGGGAGGGAGAGGAATCTGGGAGCCAGAGGGGAGTTGTGGCTGGGAGCGATAGGACTCTCAGTGGCTGCACTGGTCACCAGAGCTTGCCACACAGACACGGCATTTCCTTCTGCTGTGGTGGGTCCTTGAATCCAGGGATTGAGGAGTAGCAAGTCAGGAGTGCCTATCCAGGGAGGACTCAAGGAGAACCAGGATTTCTAGATTTGTAAAGTATGTACTGCCCTTTCATACCACTGTCTCCCTGTTAAAATAGTTTAAGCCTGACAAGTAAAGCAACCATTCTAATGATGACAGCAGTTCAGGGAAGAAAATGCATCTTCAAGAGAAGGTGCCCCTTATAGCAATGTCTTTTGCTACCCTTTTTTGGGTGCCACCTGTTTATCGCCTACTGAGAGTTTATGGAGAAGTGAGTCTTTCTGTTACCACTTTTCAGAAAGCAGATGGTCTGGATCTGATGATTGGCTTGGCTCGCCCCCTTCCTCGGTGCTCCCACCTCCCCCTGCTGTCACCCAACCTCCCCATCTTCCTCTTCTAGTATTTTCTTTTTTAAGAGTTGTGCCCATGTCTTTGCAGGTGCCTGATATGTGTTCCCATTTGTGAATCCAGTCATGATTGCCTGGCTTTTGAATGCCAAAATGTCAGTGTTGGTTTAAAATTTAGTAGCATCTGAAACTGAGCAAGAAAGCAGGAGGTTTGTTTAAGTTAGGATGGGGTAGATATAAATATAAACATTCTGCCTCTTGTCCCTTAAAAGTTATTGATAACCTTGATAGATGTGTCTGCTTTGGCGCAGTCCCTGTATCCTACCATAATATGTTCTTGGTAGAGCTAGTCTTCATGACAATCCTGTGAGGGTGATGTCATCCATGTGTTGCCACAAGGAAATTGAGGTTTACTTTTAAGGAGCTAAGTAACTTGCCTACAGCCATATGGGGAATAAGAGATGGAGCTACTGTTCCAAGCCAGGGTCCGGTTCTGTGCAACTGCCCACTGGTCAGGGTGTGTGTGCCCAGTGTGTCCTCTGTGTGAAGGCAGAAGGCGGGCAGAGTGCACCTTCCATGTCTCCCTGTGTTCCCACATGTCCACATTGCAGAAGGTTTGGAAGTAGTTTGAGATAAGGGGGGACACCACTGTGGATCAGAATGTTATTAGCTAATTTCAGACTTAATGACTACAGAATCGTGTTAGCCACATGCATAGACACTGTATGAAGGTTGGTGCCCATTGAGCTCCATTAATTTCCTTTGCTGGGCTTCACTCTCAGCTTCCAGGGATGTTCAGCATCACCACTGCTAAATCATGTTATATGGAGCACTTGGCTACATCCAGTGTCGTGTTAGAGCATTTTCCATTCACGGAGCATTAGAGCTGGAAGGAGCCTGGGAAGTCACCTGATGGCCCCTCAGCCCACAGACCTGATCTTTCTCCTGGTAGGCAGCTCTGCTGTCACTCAGAACCACATGGATCCTTGGCTCCCTAGGCTTCTGTGAGGCGCTGTCTCCAAAACTTTGAAAAAAGTCTTGAGTGTACACATGTTAAACATTGACTCTGCAGCCACCCTGCAAACAAAGGTGTTATTCGGAGAAGATGTTCTGTGGGGTATTTTTGTTTTTTCTAGTTTTTTGCTTTTGTACAGACAAGGTCTCACCATGTTACCCAGGCTGTTCTCGAACTCCTCAGCTTTGCAAAGTATTGGGATTTTAGGCGTGAGCCACGGTGCCTGGCCGTTTTGTGTTTTTGAGTACAGTGTTAAAATCTAGCTGAGTTCCAGCCAGAAGCATTGAGCAGCATCTGGTTTTGGACTGCATTTAAACAAACTGTCTACACCTTGAATGCTGGCCTCCTCCTACCCCCTCAGCAGATTACTGTACTGTCTCTACTTTGTCTCAAAACACGTGTTCTCCAGTCCTCCCAGTCCTCAAAGGGGCAGCAAGAAGCAGATCCGGTGTTCAGTGTCCAACGAGGGGTATACCTGCTGGCTGCTGGCAAGGAGCATGTGGCCTCAGCCTTTTCTTGCTCCCGGCTCAGGTTCCAGGAACTGTGTTTGATGAGGAAGCTGGCAGGGCTGTCATTTTTCATACCCCCTGGCACAGTCTCCACACACACCTGCCTTTCCTCCTTCCTTCCACTCCTCTCCAGCTCTCTCCCAGACCATACTTTCCTGCTGATGAGGACAGTTCCTGGTTCCTTACCTTTCTCTACCTAAACGCGCCACTCCATAGGAGACAAGAGTGCACTGTTCCTGCCTTTACCCCTCGGGAGCATCTCGTGTGTTTTTAGGCCACAGGTGGAGGAGAGGGTGCCAGGAAACACAGCCAGTCTGTTCTAGCCTCTGTCCTCATTTTCTTCCCCCTTCCCTTTGCTCCAGTTCCTTGTCCCACAGTGATGGGCTTGGGACTATGGGGTGTCCATTCCGGGCTTCCCTGGCTTGCTTACTTTCTCATGGGTGCTTTGAGCGCCTTTTTTGAGCCGGCTCAGGCTTTCCCCCCACACCCTTTCCTCCCTGCTTCTATCTGGCAGTGAGGGTCAGAGCTTCGGTCAGTGAGTCATCCAAACCTGGGTGTGGAAAGCACCTGGGACACCACTTGTATTTGGCTCCTTTTAGCTTTCTTAAAAGACAGCTTTGGCCGTTTGTACCCAGTCCTGTGTACACTTCTGCCAAATACAGAGAGAAAATACCAAAAGAAAGAAACCTGCCTGCAGGGGTGGAGGAGCAATGGAGAGAAGGCTGGGCTGCTCAGGCTGTCATCTTGTTACAAAAAGAAAAGCAACTGCAAGGTTTTCTATGCTAGTTAGACCCCACCTTTCTAACCCTGATTGTCTTTGAAAAATGAACAGAAATGTTTTCAGTTCTGTTTTTTTTTTTTTTTATCTTGGAGGCCAAGGCCCCAATCTCCTCATCAAACTATTCTCACTGTTCACTCTTCTCTTGCCCCAATGTCCTTCTTCGTTTCTTGACTGTTCTGGGAGAGTAAACACTGGCTAATTTTTTTTGTTTGTTTTTGGAGGTTTTTTTTTTTTTTTTTTTTTTTTTGAGACAAGCTCTCACCCTGTCACCCAAGCTAGAGTGCCTGTGTGCACCCTGGCTAGAGTACAGTGGCATGATCACAGCTCACTGCAGCCTTGAACTCCTGGCTGAGTTCAAGTGATCCTCCTGCCTCAGCTTCCCAAGTAGCTGGGACTACAAGTGCACATCACCATGCCTGGCTAATTTTTTTATTTTTTGAGACAAATTCTTGCTCTGTAGCTCAGGCTGGAGTGCAGTGGCGTGATCTTGGCTCACCACAACCTCTGCCTCCCGGGTTCAAGCGATTCTCCTGCCTCAGCCTCCAGAGTAGCTGGGATTACAGGTGCGCGCCACTGCACCCAACTAATTTTTTGTATTTTTAGTAGAGACAGGGTTTCACCACATTGGCCAGGCTGGTCTTGAACTCCCGATCTCAGGTAATCCACCAGCCTCGACCTCCCAAAGTGCTAGGATTACAGGTGTGAGCCTCCGTGCCGGCCTTTTTTTTTTATTATTATTTGTTATAGAGACAAGGTCTCACTGTGTTGCCCAAGTTGGTCTTAAACTCCTGGGCTCAAGCGATCCACCTCCGTTGGCCTCCCAAAGTGCTGGGATTATAGGCATGAGCCACTCTGCCCAGCTGGCTGATGGTTTAAGCGCTCGCGTTGGGGCTTGCAGAATGCTGTAGGTCCTGAGTGCGCAGGTAACTCACTGTGGTTACAGGTGCTTTTACAAATCCCCTTCTAAAGCAGTTATTCGTGGCAGCTACCAAATAAATAGAATCATTTGCTACTTTCTATATAGATGGCTGGCCAACAAGTGTTTTTGAAACCTGCGTTATTATAAAATACTAAACGGGCCCGTTTTCCTGCATCCCTGCAATCCAGAGAGCCCACCACTATGTAAAAATGTCAGACTTACGCAGTGAAATGTGAGCTTCTAATGACTCATGTGAGTTGTTATGTCACTTTGGGAGCCTTTGTAGTTTGATGCAATACTTTCACATCATGGATTGTTTTCTGAATTTAGCATTAATAGGGACCTTCTCATGGGGACGTCAGCCTGGCAGTCCTAACCAACTGTAAAGGTGACGCACTTACCAGTGTGAAAATTACAGAGTAAACCATGTGACAGGGGGGAGCGAGAAGCCGATTGTTTTCTTTGAAATCAAGAATCCTATCATAGTAGCTTCTTACTTGTTTTCCTCTTGGCCCAGTTCTTTTCTCAATCTGGCCAGACTCAGAGAAGCAGCAGTGTTACCTTTTGACAATAAAATGTTAAAAGTACTTTATTTTTACTTGAAATTATTAAATACTGTGTTCAATTTTAAATGAAAAACAATAAGTAATTTTTTTCATTTTATTTTATTTTTGAGACAGAGTCTGTCTGTCGCCCAGGCTAGAGTGCAGTGGCACAATCTCTGCTCACTGCCACCTCCGCCTCCCAGGCTCAAGCAATCCTCCCACCTCAGCCTCCCCAGTAGCTGGGATTAAGGTGTGCACCACCATGCCTAGCTAATTTTTGTATTTTTAGTAGAGATGGGGTTTCACCGTATTGGCCAGGCTGGTCTTGAACTCCTGGCCTCAAGTGATCTGCTCACCTTGGCCTCCCACAGTGTTGGGATTACAGGCGTGAGCCACCGCACATGACCACAAGAAGTAATTTGGAAGACGCACCATGAACACTGACATACTGTACAACTAGTCACACTTTTTTTTTTTAATGTGGATGTTTTAAAAATAAATTTTGCAGAAAACACCTGCAGAATGATATGAGGAGACCCTGAAAACAGTCAGTGGGGTTCTCCACTTTTGTTCAGGTTGCCTTGTGGAGCTACTCAGAAGCACACAGGCCGGATTTCTGGGTGTCTGATTCTGCCCTTTCCGGGTTTCTAATTCTGTTGTCTTTGATTGTTGCATCTTTATTCTTAAAAGCGCCTGAGGAGATTTGTAAGCATCATCTTAAAGGGTCTTTTAGCTCAGGAGGGAATCAATGTCCCCTGTCTCTGATTATTACTCCTGATGTGAAATTGTGGCCATGCTGTCATGGGGGCGGTGCCAGGTCCACACCTTCAGGCTCTGTATGAATGGCGCCCCCTGGAGTCGTGTGACACAGCCAGTGCCGGTTAAGGCTAGTCCCTCCTTCCCCTGGGAAAACACGTGGCCCCTCTGGCTGGTCCCCAGGTGCCAGGCCCTTGCTGTGCATTCACAGGGGAGTGCGTGGCCTTGGGCACCTGCACTAGTTCAGGCTTCTATCGACATTAATCTAACGCCAGAGGCCCCTGTGATCTGTGTTTCCAGGGAGCTGTGTTTAATTGTGGCAATCCTAGGGTTATGAGACAAAAGTACTGGGCCCCAGCTCTGAAGTCATGTTGGTTAACACACAAAACCTTTTACCCTGTAACATTAGCAACTGGGACCTTGGACTCCAGCAACTTGGGGGAAAGGGAGGAATTCAGTGATACACAAGTGATGCACCACCAACTTCCGCCTCCTGAAGGCCCCTGATCCCCTCCCTCCTCCTCTCTTTTCCTCTCCACCTCCTTTTTCCCTTGTGCTTTCTTTCTCCCTCACATGCATCCGCACAAACCCAGGACAAGTTGTAGAGGAGCTTCTATTGCATTTTGAAACATGATGTTTACAGCACAAAAGGAATCCAAGTAAAAGGAGAGGGTAGGCAGACCAAAGCAGGAGGGGACTGTGCCTCTCTCAGTGGCTCACCCATCTGTGCGTTTGGGATGGGTCTAGGGGCGAGGCAGGGCTGCCAAAATGTCCTCTTCACATGCACATCTGTTGAGTGGAGCACATGATCAAATGCAGACATAGTTACGTATTGGTCACTCATTTGCAACCAAGCTTGGAGCAGGGGGAACAAAGAACCTTTAATGAGAAGATCTCCTGACTGTTGCCACCTAGGACCACAGTGAACTTGAACAGAGGTCACTGCAGGATGTCTCGGCAAGTCAGACAGGAGTTGTCCTGGGAAGTCAGAACTCACTGCTCCCGTTCCCCTGTGGGAGGGACACAGCCACCAAGGCCAGGAAGGGGGACTGGCCACCCTGGCTGGGGGCTGTCCCTGACTTCTTCTCTTCATGGGCCCCCAAAGATACCCAGGGGTTCCCCATTGGATTTCCTAGTGTCCATATTACGGTGTCCTTGCCACACTAGAACTCGTTAGAGGGCGTCTTTCTCTTTGTGATAGAATATAGGTGTTTTCTTGCTGTGCTCTAAAATCTCTTCATTCGCTTTTTTTTGTTGTCGTTAATATTTTAATTGTAATACCGTTGTTTTACTTTAAATGTATATTTTTCAGTTTCATTTATTTTAGTATTTTGAGGACAAAAATTCATATTCCATTCAACTTAGGAAAAGGGAGAATGATCATTTTAGTCATTGATGGTTTTTTTTTTTCTAATGTGTTTTGTTAATTTTCTTGAAGGGATGGAGGAGGGGGGAACAACTGCCAATGATCCCAGGAGAATAAACAAAAGCGACTTTTCTATTTCATTGCAGTAGAAAGCCAGATAAATATATATTTTTTTTCCTGCTTCAGGTCAGAAACCCTTCCCTTGTCAAAAATGCGATGCCTTCTTTTCTACCAAATCTAACTGTGAACGCCACCAGTTGCGCAAACACGGAGTTACCACCTGTTCCCTGAGAAGAAACGGGCTTATCCCCCAGTCAAAAGAGAGTGATGTTGGATCCCATGATAGCACAGGTAGTGCCGCCAGGTGAACAAGAACCCAGGAAGAGGGAGAGAGAGGAGTTCGGTTAAGAATTGTAGCAAACTCCAGTCCGAGCTGTGGAGGGGCTGCTTGTTCACTTCTCTGTAGGATTCAGAGCCCACAGCCTGTTAATAGAAAGGCAGGCCCTGCTGATGATTGGGAGGGAGTATAACTCCTGGGTCAGATCGCCTAGACAGACAGCAGAAAACAGTGACAGTGCCCCTCGGTGACTCTCGGGGCTGCTAGGGAAGATCTGTCACCCTCTTGGCAGAAGAGGCCTTTGTTCCCGATGTTGGGAGGTGGGATGTATGGGAAGGCTTACAACTTTAGCCCTGGGTATGAACTCATCTAAAGGGGATGTGAAACCTAAAGGTTTGGGGAGCCTTAGCCGCTGCAGCCTCCTCGGGAGCAGGCCTGGGCTCCCTGGGATATCAGGGTATTGTAGGAACGAGGGGTGCGGTGTTCTTCTTTTCAATAACTCTCTTCCCGGTGTAAGACTGTCCTTGTTTGAAAAAGCACTGTGCATGTCCTTTCTTTAATCACATCTCTGCTTGACCTGAATCCGGGTATTATTCTCCTGTGCTGATGTGTGCTTCCTCCCTCCAGCACCCACAGAGCAATTAACGGCTGCCCGATACGTCTTGTGCCACCTTGTTTCCCTTATAGTTTCTGAATTTACTCATGTCCTCTATCAGTACACTCCATCCGCTCGGACTGCTGGGGTTCTCCATCCTCACCCCCAAGAGCAAACAAAACGAAAGCCAGCCTGCTGCAGGCCACTTAGATATCCCGCCAGTTGGCACTGATTAGTAACAGGGACAGCATCATGGTGCTGGGTCCAGTTTTGCAAGTCTTGAAAACCTGACACTATCTTGTGGCTGCGAAGAGATCCCCCCAGCTGTGTTTTTTTAGGGTTGTATTTGCGTCCTGTGGCTTCTATTCCTCAGACTAGGGTGGAGATGGGGTGCCCTGTAGTTACGAGGCACCCCTGCCTCAGGAGTCAGTGTGGAAGAGGGTTGGGCATTAATCTTAGCCCCTTGTCCTTACCTTGGTTACAGGGGTACAGGGTGTATCTGAAGTGGAGAGGCCACCCTTTGCCCATCTCTACGCCTCCCACTGAGCCCTAGTGAAACCAACTGTGAGTGCTCTTGACTGCCCAACCGCCAGTCTAGATCAGATCCTCTGAGGGTATGAAAGGGTAAGCTGGTTTGTTCACTGCTTCCCCAGCTTCCACTTCCACATAACTCACCAGTATCTTTGAGTGAAGAAAGATGTGGGTGCCCACGGAATCTTAGCCTAACTTGGACCCCTGTGAGCCAAAGATGACCTGGAGTTCAGCCCACTGGAAGCGCACACCAGTGCTGGCAGGCACGCGTTTGCTGCAGACCATCCTGTTAATGTTTAACCATCAGCCGCCACATTACCTGTTAGTCTGGAACATTTTCTTTCATCCTGGTTTAGAAAGCTGCCCTGTGATCTTCCCATAGTGGTTCCACAGTAGCGAAAGCAGCCGGTAACTGAGGGAGCTGAGGGGGAGCCCTTGGGTTTCCATGTTTACAAATAAGTCTTAGTAACTCCGTGCTGGATGTGCATTTTGCATTCAGCTTCTTTATCATAAGGGAGGAACAAAGACTGGGGCTCCTGCTGACATCTGCAGACACAAAGCTGAGTCGGAATTTGTGGTCTTAGCTTCGGTTCAGCACCAAGTGTATTTATAAGTTTGCAGTCATAGGTTTTGTTGTCCAAATCCCAACAAAGCCCTTTCCCACCTCCACCCCACCCCGGAAGTTATATAGGGTTCCTTGAAGGGACAAAGCCTCTAGAAAAAGAAAAGTCACTGAAAGTTGTAATGTGAAACCAGCAAAGAGAAAATACATGTTTGGTTTAGTTGTGGTCACAGTCCATGGTGAGAAAAGGGACTGAGATTTAAGTGGGAGGGAAAAGTTTAGGGAGGCAGAGTTTAGTGATTTCAAGGAGGATTTTAAAATGCAGATGAGCATGATGGACATGGGGTGAAGCCTTCATTCTGGGTTCCCCCCCCCCAGTGAAGTTTAAAAAGTGAGGCTTTGAAGGAAGACCACTTAAAAAAAAGGGGGGGGGGGAAGGAAATGACCAAGGAGGTCCTTGAGGGGTTTTCTAGGCTTGTATGCCTAGGTGGCATTTTCTTAAAATTCCTACACATGTTTTATAATGTAGGTCTGACATTTTTCAGTCTCATAAAGTCCCCCAAAAGAATGCTAAAAATGCCACAGTGGGGGCAGTTCTCCCTTAAAGGTCCATTTTGAATATTCAAATTTCAACTGAAATTCTTCATTCACTGTCCTGGACAGAGAGGCAGCCTGGCCCCCTCTGCCCTTGAGGGATATGCCCTTGGTCCTTCCTCCGATGATGCCCCGTCTTTGTGTTTGTAGGCACCTACATAGGGCTGTTTTTAATTCGTATAAACATGAAAGTGTTTAAGCTCTCCCTTAATGGTGGCCGCCTTTACCAGCCCAGAAGTCCCACATGTCAGCATGGACTACACCTCAGGAAACCCTCTCCATCCTCAGATGCTTTGGGTGGAGTGCAGACACAGCAGCTTCCCCTGCAAAGGCACCCCTGCCAGGTCAGATAATTACTTAGGTTGGTAGTCTGTCACAGTGGTTGAGGCTCATTTAATTTTTAGGAAGCAATAGATCTTTAATTGTTGAGCTGACTAGGGCTGTCTCCACAGTCCTGTAGGAGGAGCTGCGGGTTTATTATCTACCAGGATTCCTTCTGCTTCCTCTAACAGTTTTCTTAGTTGTTGAACAACACAAACCGAGGGACTGATGGGGAGAGGGAAGAACTGCATATTTTTAAGGTAGCATTGCTTATAAAAAGTCATCAGCTCAGCTACCTGCATTTGGGAGTCTGGGTGTTGAGGGCGGGGATTTATACAGCACCTGGCCTTATAAGTTGAGTATTCATGATAGGTGAAGAGGTGAAGTTTTTTGTTCATGAGAATCACTAATGAAAATCAGTTGTTTAGAATGTGAAGGGCACAGCCTACACTGCTAAAACACTCCCCCTAGTGGGAGTTTGGTAGAATACAACCAAGCCCCCTGTGTCCAAAGAGGGAGTTGGCCTTTCATTGTACTCCGGGTGATCTCTCTCCATTATCCGCGCAAAGGAAGGGCCCGAGAGCAGGAACAATTTGATCTTATATTTCTTTGGGTTTTGTTTCAAAATTTATTTTACTTTCTTTAAAGCTCTATCATGTTAAATATGTTCTGTGCAGTTAAAATAATGCATGTTCTTTGCTGAAAAAAAAAAAATAGAAGTGTAGTCTAGGATATACTGGGGACAAAGGGGAAGTAACCAGAGATTAAACCTTCTTTTAAAAATTACCAGTCGGGCGTGGTGGCGCATGCCTGTAATCCTAGCCCTTTTAGAGGCCGAGGAAGGTGGATCACCTGAGGTCAGGAGTTCTGAGACCAGCCTGGCCAACATGGTGAAACCCTGTCTCCACTAAAAATACAAAAATTAGCTGGGCATGGTGGCTCACACCTGTAATCCCAGCTACTTGGGAGGCTGAGACAGGAGAATCGCCTGAACCCAGGAGGCAGAGGTTACGGTGAGCTGAGACTGCACCACTGCACTCCAGCCCGGGTGACAGAGCAAGACTCCATCTCAAAAAAAAAAAAAAAAATTACTTACAAAGGCCAGCCACAGTTGCTTATGCCTATAACCTCAGCACTTTGGGAGGCCAAGGCAGGAGGACCCCTTGAGCCCAGGAGTTCGAGACCAGCCTGGGCAACATAGGGAGACCCTGACTCTAGGGAGGGAAATTACCCACAAAGCCAGCAAACAAATTGAGCGTTCTGTATTTTTATTGTAGAGTTTATACCAATATCCATTCTATAGATGCTCTCTGTTGAAATGATTCAAGAAAAACGAACATCTAGTTTTTCCTTGGAATGTGGCCCAGACATTGGTGTGCATATCCCAGGACTCATATTCTTTAAGCTTTTGGATAATTTTGCAAAATCATTTCTTCTTTAAAATGTTATATTCACACCATAATATTTCTTTCTGAAACCTCTTGAGATACCCAAACAGTGGCTGCCAAAAAGTGCAGTCAGTGTAAAACTAATGAAATGAAATGATGTAAGTAGCCGCGTTATGCAGATGGCTGTGGGTAAAGCCTAAAGCCCCAAGCAGGTGTGAACAGTAGGTACTGTCTCCTCAGACCTCAGGACGGGGCAGAACCAGCTCCTTACCCCAGCCCTCCT
This sequence comes from Homo sapiens, assembly GCF_000001405.40. Taxonomy (NCBI): domain Eukaryota; kingdom Metazoa; phylum Chordata; class Mammalia; order Primates; family Hominidae; genus Homo; species Homo sapiens. The sequence goes on from NC_000006.12 coordinate 7,244,863, forward strand.
GACCGCCTTGATGGCAAATCATCAAGCATGTGACATTGAGGAGGTGTGATGGATGCAGGTTGACATTGTAGTTACACCTGATCACGTCAAGTGAGAATCCAGGTTAGGTGCGTGAATCTGCTGGCTCAAGGACTGCAATCACATCTGGCCTATTGAGGGAGGGGCATCTCGTACTTGTGCCATAAAACAATGACTTTCATCCACCCAATTATCAGAGGAACTTGAATCCCTGCAGTAATAAATCAGACAGTGGCCGGGCACGGTGGCTCACGCCTGTAATCCCAGCACTTTGGGAGGCTGAGGTGGGTAGATCGCCTGAGGTCAGGAGTTCGAGACCAGCCTGGCGAACATGATGAAACCCCATCTCTACTAAAAATACAAAAATCAGCTGGGCGTGGTGGTGGGCGCCTGTAATCCCAGCTCTTGGGAGGCTGAGGCAGGAGAATTGCTTGAACCCGGGAGGTGGAGGTTGCAGTGAGTGGAGATCACACCATTGCACTCCAGCCTGGGCGACAAGGCGAAACTCCGTCTTGAAAAAATAATAAAAACTAAATCAGACATAGGATCTGCAGCTAAATAATAGGTCCCACCAGCTTCCAATGTACTGTCGTAATGCATAATTTTAAGAAGTTATTAAGTCTTCTTTCAACCTTAGTAAAGAGAAGGCCTTTTGACACTGTTTGATGTGAATATTGCAGCCGTGCCATCCCTTAAAAGGACTGTTGAAAACTGATAGGCTTTCCACATACAGTTTTACTGGGTGGAATGGACAGATAGGAACAAATCAAGAGGCAGGAAGTCAGGGTAGGTGAGATGCCTGGAACCCAGAACCCCTTGTCTTCACAGGCACCCACAGCCCTTCACAGTCCGCTCCCCTCACTGTGTGCTGTTGCCAAGCCTGGCATCAAGGGTGCCCTTCCTTTGAAAGATTCCACCACCCCTGGGAGGCTGACAGCTAGGAAGCCTACAAGCTTGCCTGCGCCCCCTTGGGTCTCTGCAGCCTCCACCTGGAGATGAGCGTCAGGCAAGAGTGTGCATACCATACACACACAACGCAGGCTTGGGGTCGTTTCCTGTGAAACTCATCAAGACCATGCTTTGGAGGATTAGGGGTAGGGGTGGTCCTGTGTATGTTGCATGTTTGTATGATCTCTTTGCACTGGAAAAATAACTTATAACTCAAGCTTCCTCAACTTCCCTAGCGCTGCGAGTCTCTGGAATGCACCCCTCTCCTATCTCGCAGCCCCTGTCTGCCCTGCCTGAGTCACTCACACCTTCCTGGGGGCGGGGGCAGTGGAAGCCAGGGGTTCAGGGGCACAGCCAGCCCTGGGAACACACCTGAGGTGATGTGGAGGCTGCTTTTGCCTTTCTTCACGTCCCCAGGGTCATCTTGGTCCTCCTGGGGGATGTAACAGGTGGTGAGGATTTGGGCCGAAAGAAGTCCTCACTGGTTTGGGGTTCAGGCTGCTGGCGTGGGTCTAGCCCATTCCCGGCGACATCCCTGGCATGGGCGTACCTGGTGGTGCCCCTCTGAGCCCTCCCCGCTGTGCTTGCCCCACAGACAGTCAGTCGGATGCGGAGACTGCAGCCGCCGCGGGCGAAGTGCTAGACCTCACCTCACGGGACAGAGAGCAGCCGTCGGAGGGCGCCACTGAGCTCCGCCAGGTCGCAGGGGATGCGCCTGTGGAGCAGGCCACGGCGGAAACGGCCTCGCCGGTGCACCGGGAAGAGCACGGGCGTGGGGAGAGCCATGAGCCGGAGGAGGAGCATGGCACTGAGGAGAGCACTGGGGACGCCGACGGCGCGGAAGAGGACGCGTCGAGCAACCAGAGCCTGGACCTGGACTTCGCCACCAAGCTCATGGACTTCAAGCTGGCGGAGGGCGACGGCGAGGCAGGCGCCGGGGGCGCGGCCTCGCAGGAGCAGAAGCTCGCCTGCGACACCTGTGGGAAGAGCTTCAAGTTCCTGGGCACCCTGAGCCGCCACCGGAAGGCGCACGGCCGCCAGGAGCCCAAGGACGAGAAGGGAGATGGCGCCAGCACTGCAGAGGAGGGGCCCCAGCCCGCCCCTGAACAGGAGGAGAAGCCCCCCGAGACCCCGGCAGAGGTGGTGGAGTCGGCCCCGGGTGCCGGGGAGGCCCCGGCGGAAAAGCTCGCGGAGGAGACGGAGGGCCCCTCCGACGGGGAGAGCGCGGCCGAGAAAAGGTCCTCAGAGAAGAGCGACGATGACAAGAAACCAAAGACAGACTCCCCCAAAAGCGTGGCCAGCAAGGCAGACAAGAGGAAGAAGGTCTGCAGCGTGTGCAACAAGCGGTTCTGGTCGCTGCAGGACCTGACCCGGCACATGCGCTCCCACACAGGTAACCAGGGCAGGCCAGGTCCCCGGCCCAACAAGAGGAGGCGAGCCGGGCACCTCTCCTAGGAGCTCCCCTGAAGCGGCGCTGGAGGCCACCGAGAGAACGTTTGCTTACGTTGCCGGTGTGCCCTTTAAGCCCGTGAACTAGGAGTTTTAAGGAGTTGTACTCTCAGCCCTTGAAGACGGTGCAGGCCTCCTGCAGCCAGGCAGGAGAGGGTCCTTGGCCGTTGTGTTTTTGAGAACGCTGTGATCCGCCTTTAGCTCTGCTGCCTCCGCCTCCCCATCTGTAGAGTGGGGGTAACAGCTGCCCTGTTTCATAGAGGTATCTAGGAGAGGGTGCTTGTGCTGGGCATTTGGGCCACTTAGTCCTGTCTAGTCCTGTGGCCTGGACGACAGGCACTGCCCCAGGCCGCTGTGGGGCAGGCACCCTGGGTGATCCATTAGGGTCAGGAGGGCCTTTTCCTTTCTTAGCCGTGCAGTTCGGCTGAGATGACTGGGACAGGACCCTTAGCCACTGCCCTTCACACCGTTCTAGAGTTCACCCACCACCTGCAGGGTGGAGGCTGCAGACCCCAGAGCAGGGGCGCTTACTTTGACACAAAGACCTGAATATGCTCATGGAGTCCAGAGATATATCCTTCTTCTTTCCAAAATAACCTGTCCCTCCTCTCAGCCGCAGCTTCCCTCCCTGTCACAGCTGCAGCCCGCAGTGAACACATGTGCCCCGACCCAGCGCAGTCGGCTCTGCCCTGCGCTTGCCCGTGTGAAGGGCCAGGGTCCTTGGCTCTCAGAAGAGGGATATTCTTGGGCTCCCAACAAGCGTGGTGGGCCCTGCCCTGGGCCTGGCGTGTGAGCCATCAGGAAAGCCCCCGCTGCACCACATCGCAATGCAGAGGGTAACTGGTGCCCCCGACCTAGGTGCTGCTGTCCATACAGATCCCTGAGAGGGTCCACTCCTGTCCCCCTCTAGATTCCTTCCCAGTCTCTGGTCGAGGCCAGTCTGCACATCTCCTGAGGCTTCTGCTTCTGGGACCTGGGTTTTCTGGATCAGTATGTAGAGTGCCTGGGCTGAGAGAGGAAGGAGAGGAAAGGTCTCAGACTGACAGCTTGAACCAGCAAACAGAGCTTGTCCGTCCTCAGTTTGCTGGTTCAAGGAAGAGGCCTCTGGCTGAGTAGGACGGAGTCCTGGCCCCCCGCACATAGCCTGGGAGCCTCATTCTTCCTGTGCAGAGCAGGGTGCAGTGGGTACTGGTGCCTTTTGGTTAATGGAAATTCTTTCTTCCATTGTTCCAGGGGAAAGGCCATACAAATGTCAGACCTGCGAGCGAACCTTCACCTTGAAGCACAGCCTGGTTCGCCACCAGCGGATCCACCAGAAAGCCAGGCATGCCAAACACCACGGGAAGGACAGCGACAAGGAAGAGCGGGGTGAGGAGGACAGCGAGAATGAGTCCACCCACAGCGGCAACAACGCCGTCTCAGAGAACGAGGCTGAGCTGGCTCCCAATGCCAGCAACCACATGGCTGTCACCCGGAGCCGGAAGGAGGGCTTGGCCAGTGCCACCAAGGACTGCAGCCACAGGGAGGAGAAGGTCACGGCAGGGTGGCCGTCTGAGCCTGGCCAGGGTGACCTTAACCCAGAGAGCCCGGCGGCCCTGGGGCAGGACCTGCTGGAGCCGCGCAGCAAGAGGCCTGCCCACCCAATCCTGGCCACAGCTGATGGCGCCTCCCAGCTCGTGGGGATGGAGTGACAGCCTCAGTCCCCCTCAGCACAGACAAAAGCCAGCAGAGCAAAGCGTCTATACTTCATGGGGTTTCCTCAGTGCCCTTTGGCTGTTGAGGAGTGAGAGAGAGAGAGAGAGAGAGAGAGAGAGAGAGAGAGAGAGACAAGCAGGAGCGTGGCTGCTCGCTCAGTGCCATAGCCTTACCGCAGCCTGCGCGGGAGGCCACAGCCCGTGCCGATTCCAGTGCCTTAACTACTTACCGGATCCCTCCATATTATCATGGGTGTTGTATTTTTCCAAAATGACTTCTTAAACAAAACAAATATTATAATGAATTGTCTGGAGAGGACCTCTTCATTTGAGCATTAGCGTTATTTTGTATTGGTGTGTGTGAGCTTGTTCTTGTGAATCTGTGATAGCACCGTTTGTTCTGTGAGCTGGAAACAGAAGGAAAAAACATACCCTTGGGTACCCATAGCCAATAACTGGAAGAAAATGATGTGAATTTCATGTAAATGACCAGAGGAAAGATGGATAAGATGATAATTTCTTAAATAGACATTTTCCTTTTTTCTTTGTGCTTCATGGTGGAGCTGTCATCTGGTCCTTGGTATTACAGGATGTGGTTGATGAAGGTTTCCAATATGGTTTCAGGCCAAAACCAGGGAAGATTCTAGCTTCAGCCTCATGTCCATTTCCAGTCTGTCAGCATTAGACATGGTCACTGTTCAAGTTTCAAGACATCCATTCTTAACTATAGAGAAGAGTTACTCCCCTGGCGTCTTAACCTATGGAAAACATGCACGGATAGGATATATTTGATTGCCTCCTCTTCCCTTTCAGTATATGTATTATTAATATTATTATTATTATTATTATTATTAGTTCATCAGTTTGCTGTTCTCTGCAGTGAGCAGAATCAAATGGGCAATATTTGTCCTGGGAGACCTGTGCCGCACCCAGGTCCCCGTGTTAACGTGTGCCTGCGGTTGTGGTTGGCACCCTCGGGTGGTAGCTCTTCTACTGTAATGAGACAAGCCTTTCTTCTGTCACTGCAGAATTTAGAAGGGGCCGTGAGCAGTCTTCCCAAGCATGGTCCAGGAGCAGCTCAGAGAGGGTGGAGTGAGGATGCATGCATCCAGGGAACAGGCATCAAGAAGCCAGGGCCGTGCCTGGAGCACTGCAGAGATGACTTTGGAGAAAGCAAAGCAGTGACCCAGTGACCAGGCACATTACTCGTGAGCGAGGTATTCCCAGTCTTCCTGCTAAGCCTAATCCAAGCCTTACCCAGCTGTGCTACTGTCATTTGCAAAGCAAGGAAATACTACTACTGGTAATAAAACTACACATGCAAGATGTCAGATAAGAAATAGGTTTATATTTACCTTCCTGCGATGTGGGGTTGGTGCTTGAAGATAAATGTGCTGTTTCTAGTTTCTTAAATAGCCCACACCCCTGGATGCAAAAAGGCAGGGTTATTTTTACCCATGAGCATCCTGTGCAGGCAATAGACTTCCCTCACTGTCTCCGCCTGCAGGGAGGAGAATGTACCCCACTGCACCTGAGCTCCTGGTCCCTCAGCCAAGACCTCAGGGGTCCCCAGCCAGCCTGCTGCTGGGGACCCCTGTGCTTGCTGCAGTGTATGGAGCCTCTTGCCTTCCCCTGGGGAGGCACCCCTGTACCCCAGCTTCCTTCCCCTGGCCTTTTCTGGCCCCAGTGCTCCTCCTTTACATAGACTTGTTCACACAGAAACGTGCACGCCCCCTTTTCTCCGCCACTTCACCAGTTTCTGAAATCCAACCTCCCAGACTTCACAGGAAGATAGATATTCTTGAGATAATGAAAAGTGATATCTTCGCATACGAAAGGAAAAAAGGTTGAGGTATATATGATTTTTAACTGTATTAGGGGTGTATGAACCAGTTTAAAAACGAGGTTTTATTTACTGTAGAGATGAATGCAAATCAGAACCAATGATCCCTTGGCCTACTTAGTTAAAACCAGTTCATACATCCCTTAGGGTTTTTATTATTATTATTATTATTATTACAGTTGTTATTGTTGTTTTTGTTGTTATTATTATTTGGGGTTTCTTGTGTTTTTTCTTTGCGACTCTCCACACTAAACTTGCAATATTGTGGGGAGAAGCTGTGACTAAACTCTACGCTGCGGTGAGATGTAGCAGTAATCAGCTCCCAGCGACGTGTGTAGCTGGGGCTGCCGCTCGCAATAATCACTATTGATTTAAAGCTTTACTTAGCCTTGATCTGTACCCTCGTAGTCAATAAGGTCTTGCCACATTTTATTAGTGAGGTGGAGAAACGTATTATTTGTTTGTTGTTTTTGCCCTTCCCCCACCCCCCAATATTAAACTGTGAAATTTGTGATTTGTTTAAACTCTGGGTGAATCATAGCTTAGTTTGCATGTCCAGCTAATTTGTTTCTATACATTTTGTTTGATTCTCTTTCTCCTTCTCTCAGGGCTTTTACAAAAAAATATATATATATGGATCTTCTGAAAAGTTTTTTGAGGTGCAAGTTTTTTCTCTTTTTTTTTTTTTTTTTTTTTTCTCATTGATTAATGGACATGATGCTGAGATTCAATCACTACATGAAACACCTGGCTGTGAAAACAAAACAACCCAGAGGGCTGTGTTCCAAGCAGCGCTGGGGAAGCTACGTAACAGTCGGATGCCAGTTTTGGAAGATTCACCATGCGTTCTGACCCTCTGTTCGTCTCTTTCCTCTCCTCTTTCTTCAAGAAGGAAATTGATCCTAGTGATTTCAGCCCATGCATTAAACAGGAAACAATAATAAATTTGTAGAATTCATATTTTTCTAAAGGGAACTTAAAAACTGCTGCTACATGTTATGTACAAAACTGGTTTATGCCACATGAACAGAGAATCACAAGTTTGGTTTTGGTACTTTTTGTTCCTCTTTGTATTCAGTTGTATAGAACTTCCAAATTCAGAATGAGAAGAAAGCTGTTCTGTATCAAACCATTTAAGCAATAAATGTTATATTTTAAAAGCTGCAGATTGCCGGTCACGTGGCCGTCCTGTGATTTGTTGTGATCCCATCCCCAAACCCACAGCCCACTTGGGGCAGGTCCCAGGTGTGCAGTACCATTGGGGGGAGTCACAGGTGCCCAGGAAAGCTCTTGTCACCCAGGCAGCATTTTTATTTGCGCTGGAGGCTGTGGCAGTGACTCTTGCCTATGCTCCCAGCACTTTGGGAAGCCAAAGCAGGAGATTCACTTGAAACCAGAAGTTCAAGACCAGCCTGGGCAAAATAGTGAGACCCCTATCTCTAGAAAAAAATGTTTAAGAACTAGCTTGGCATGGTGGTACATGCCTGTTGTCCCAGCTATTTGGGAGGTTGAGGCAGGAGGATCGCTTGAGCCCAGGAGTTTGAGGTTGCAATGAGCTACGATCGTTCCTCTGCCCTCCAGCCTGGGGGACACAGCAAGACCCTGCTGTATGTAAAAGCACTCGGCTGCAGTTGTGAGAGCTGCTTTGAGAGCATGTGGAAAGTTAAGTGCATGGCCACTGTCAGAGCTTCAGAGTGGAGATCTTGGTGTTGGGTGCACAGGGCCAGGAGGCTGGACCTAATGAGGCACCACAGTGCAGGCCACTCTGTCATTGGCTAAAGCCAGCATTTTTGTTTCCTGTGCAATAATGCCTAAGAAGTCCGCCTCGCCTCTTCTTCCTCCAACCCAGTGGTAAGTGATTGAGTCAGCACCTAGTGGAGGGAGAACAAAATCTGTTAGTGTGACCAGATTTTGGTGAGACGGGAGGGGACAGCAACCCTAGGGCTGGGGATGGTGCAGGTTAAAACTCACATTTGGGTAAAATAGCAATCAGCAGAGCCCCAACTCCTAGCAGAGCCTCAACTCCTATAACTAGGGAGTGGCTCTCAAAAAGCAACACTGGGGGCTGGGTGCGGTGTCTCACGCCTGTAATCCCAGCACTTTGGGAGGCCGAGGTGGGTGGATCACAAGGTCAGGAGATTGAGACCATCCTGGCTAACACGGTGAAACACCATCTCTACTAAAAATACAAAAATTAGCCAGGCATGGTGGCAGGTGCCTATAGTCCCAGCTACTCGGGAGGCTGAGGCAGGAGAATGGTGTGAACCCGCGAGGCAGAGCTTGTATTAAGCCGAGATCGCACCACTGCACTCCAGCCTGGGCGACAGAGTGAGACTCCATCTCAAAAAAACAAACACTGGGCCGGGAGTGGCGGCTCACACCTGTAATCCCAGCACTTTGGGAGGCCAAGGCGGGAGGATCACTTGAGGTCAGGAGTTCGAGACCAGCCTGGCCAACATGGTGAAACTCCATCTCTACTAAAACTGCAAAAAAATTTGGGTGTGGTGGTGTGTGCCTGTAATCCCAGCTACTCGGGAGGCTGAGGCACGAGACTCCCTTGGACCCAGGAGGCAGAGGTTGCAGTGAGCCGAGATGCCGCCACTGCACTCCAGCCTGGGCCAACACAGTGAAACTGTCTCAAAAAAAAAAAAAAAAAAAAAACGAACACTGAAAGAAGTTGGTTGTGGAGGAGGCTGATTGTGGATAATGCTAAAATGCATTGAGTGCACTGTACCATACACTGCTAAGTGCCACCTCCCTGCAGGACCAGAGCTGTGGCTGTGGTCCTTAAGCTTTTTCAGGCCCCTCTGTTGAAAGACGTAGAATTTAACACACATTTATATGTGGGAGCTTGGGGGATCCGCATGCCTGAGTGGGCGGTGGCAGGTGGAGATGTACTAGCCCTGGGTAAGCGGATCTCAAACCTCAGGTCCTCCGCCCAAAGACATAGCCAACCACCTGCGCTGTGTTAGAGATGCAGGACAAAGAAGTGGCCACGAGCTGTGTTGCTGGGGACAAGCTGGCTGGCATGACAATCCCAGTTCTGCCTCTTCGGGCTGGTGAATGGCCTTGTGCCTCAATTTCACCATTCCTAAGAAAGGGATAGCGATAGTACCTGCCTCATGGGCACTGTTGTGTGGATGCTATGAGTTAATTACATAAGGTGCATGTTAGGGGCTCTCGTTATTGTTTCTACAGTCTTCTCATGGGAATGCTTCCTTGGTTGCCTGGTGAGGAAGTAGGTAGAACTTCACCACACACATTCATGGCACAGTGCGGGGAACAGCCAGAGGAGGGCCTTGTGGGAGATCACCAAGATGCAGGCACTGTCTTTGAACCCCAGGGAGTCTTGTCACCTTCTCCTACCTGGCCTCCTCTGGCCCTGTAATCCCACTACCTTCCCGCTCAGCCTGTGACCTCCCCATGGCCCCAGGACTCTGCCTGGGCCTTGGTGCTTATCCAGCATCCCCACCCTGGACCAAAGCCTCCTCCACTGGAGGAGGGCATGGGGCATGGGGATGGGGGAGCTGGCGGCATAGACCTAGCACCCAGGATGAGGCCTAGTCCCTTGTTACCTTACTGCTCAGAGTGTCGTCTGAAGACCCAAAGCATCAGCATCCCTGGGAGCTTGTTAGAAATGGCAACCTCAGGTTGACCTGGTGCGGTGGTGCATGCCTGTTGTCCCAGCACTTTGGGAGGCTGAGGCAAGAGAATCGCTTGAGGCCAGGAGCTCAAGGCTGCAGTGAGCTATGTTCACACTCCAGCCTGATTGACAGAGCGAGATCGCATCTTCACAAAAATAAAAACGTAAACCAAAAAATAAAAGAAATGAGAACCTCTGACCCACCCAGACCTGCTGAGTCAGAATTTGCATGTGAACAAGGGCCACAGTGGATATGTGCACACATTGAAGTTTGAGAAGCTCCGGTCTAGACCCCAAAGCTTGGTTCAGAATAAGGTGGATGGCGGACTCGGCAGCTGGCTGCAGAGACGGCTGTGGATTCTCCCCCTCAAAGACAGAATCCATCTCAGAATGAGTGGGCAGAAGCCACATATGGCTTTAGAGAGTGCCGATCTTGGCCCTCCAGAGGTTCCTTCCACAGTCCCTACTCCAGCCCCAGCACAGACTCAGCCACTGCCTAAACCCGAGTGCCCCAAGAGTCTTGTTTGGGGTTTCTGCCTGTTTGCCATCCTTGTGGATTCCAAAGGCTACTTTGAAAGGGCTGAGGAGCGAGTGGGGCCTCCAACCACTGGCCAACAGCGCCAGCTGCCTGCTTGCCTGTCCTGGTGTTAAGCCTTGGGCCTGGAGCGCTCAGGCCTCTCCCCTTCATAACCACCTCCCTGAGGAGGACAGGAGTGAGGGAGGATGACTAGGCTTATTTTAAGCTTGTAATTGAAGGTTGCTCTTTAGCAACAAAAGAGTCCCCTCCAATTCTAGACTGCCAGAGTCAGTGTCCTAAATAAGAAACAAGCGGTCACTCCTTTCCCGTTTTACTGTTAGGGGAAGGAAGCCACAGCCCAGTGGGGAAGTGACATCCCTGGCCCTTGCCGTTCACCACTTCAAGTCTTGCCCAGCTGTCAGGGCAGGAATTCATGTCCCCACGGTGGCATCTGCTTCCCAGGCTGTGGGGCCAGCAAGGGGCTCAGCTGCTCCCCAGCCCTGCCTTCCTCCATGGATCTGACATGACTCTTTTATGGGAATTTACGTAAAAGTAACGCCTTGCTCAGTGTGGAAAATTTAGGAGCTTCAGGAAAATATAAAGAAAATTAAGGAAGTCATCTCGCTTCTCAAATACCGTGTTAATTTGGTGAGTGTTGCTCTTTTCATTGGGCCTCACTTTTCCCTTCCTCATTCTCAGATGTGTTTGTACAGGACTTTGCACACTGCAGTGTTTTCCTGTGGTTTTTGTTTCTTTTCTTCACCCAAGTCCAGTGAGCTGTGAAGGAAAAAAAATCCTTATTCCTTCAGAGCAGGGACGAGCATTGAAATGATTTGCCCAGGTCAGCTGGCTATTGAGTGCTTTTGTTGGGATGAAATTCTCCACCAGAAAAATCCTAAAACAGAAGTCCCCAAGAATGGGTGGTGTGTGTCGTCCACTGAAAAGGGAGTTACTGAAAACTAGGAATGCGTGGCCTCTAGGAAACATGGCACTGTTGTGATTTGGCACATAGATATTTGGCATACATATTCCCAGGGTCACTGAGTAAATTCCCAACTGTTCCAGTTCTCTTTTGCTGCATGACGAAGAACACCAAAACTTTGGGTCAGGATTCGGTGGGTTGGGCAGGGCTCTGCAGGGATGGCTCATCTGTCCTCCATGAGGCATCAGCTAGGGCAGAGCCTCCAAGACCATTTTTTCTCGCTCATATCAGGTGCCTCTGTGTGTACAACCCACCCACTCACCTACCCACTAAAAGAACCATTCTTTGGGTTGCTTGTTAAAAATTGCATTTCAGGCCGGGTGCAGTGGCTCACACCTGTAATCCCAGAACTTTGGGAGGCCAAGGTGGGCAGATCACCTGAGGTCAGGAGTTCAAGACCAGCCTGGCCAACATGGTGAAACTCCATCTCTACTAAAAATACAAAAATTAGGCTGGCATGGTGGCAGGTGTCTGTAATCCTAGCTACTCGGGAGGCTGAGGCGGGAGAATCACTTGAACATGGGAGGCAGATGTTACCATGAGCCAAGATCACGCCACTGCATTCCAGCCTGGGTGACAAGAGTGAGACTCTGTCTCAAAAAAAAAAAAAAAATTGCATTTCAGATCTACTAATTCAGGATCTCAGGAGGGAGGACCCAGCCATATACATTTTTAGCAAATTCCTAGAGAATTTGCTAAAGCCCAGAAAAGTTTGCAAACCAGGGCTCTGTTAAAGACTGTTCCAGATTCCTGCCCCTCAGTTGTACCTCTAGTTGCCCCTCAAGCTAACACCAAGGCAAATTGTTTGCAATGGAGCCATTGTTTGGTCTGGGGTAACTCTCTGATATCTAGGATATGTACTGGAAACTTCCTTCAAGCCTCCTGCCTGGCCTCTTTCCCTGCTTTTGCAGCCACTCCTCTACATACATTGGCACAGGTGCTCCCACCCAACTTTACCACCTACCCCCCAAAAGGGAACTTCTAAGAACCTGTGGCTGGGCTCGACCTTGGCACTGAGTCTAGGAGCAGTTGCCTCCACCTGGCTTACCTCCCTGAAGCTTTGGGTCCCTGGTCTCCTGATACGCACTTGTCAGGGCTGGCTCATAATGCTGGGATCCATATGGATAAATGAAAATGTGGGGCCCCACTCTGTCGCCTGGGCTGGAGTGCAATGGCACAATCTCAGCTCACTGCAAACTCCACCTCCTGGGTTCAAGCAGTTCTCGTGCTTCAGCCTCCTGAGTAGCTGGGACTGTAGGCATATGCCACCACAATTGGCTAATTTTTTTTGTATTTTTAGTAGAGACAAGGTTTTACCATGTTGCCCAGGCTGGTCTCGAACTTCTGGCTGCCTCAAGTGATCTGCCCTCTTGGTCTCCCAAAGTGCTGAGATTACAGACATGAGCCACTGTGCCCATCTTGTGTTTGTTTTTGTTTTGTTTTGTTTTTTGTTTTTTAAGAGACACGGTCTCACTCTGTCGCCCAGGGTGGAGTGTAGCGACGCAATCTGAGCTCACTGCAGCCTCAATCTCTCAGGCTCAAGTGATCCTCCTGCCTCAGCTTCTCGAGTAGCTAGGACCAAGGTGCACACCACCACACCCGGCTAATTTTTTTGTATGTTTTGTAGGATGGGGTTTCGCCATGTTGCCCAGGCTGGTCTCAAATTCCTGGGCTCAAGCAATCCTCCCACCGCGGCCTTCCAAGTGTTGGGATTACAGCGTGAGCCACTGTGCCCGGCCAATGGGCTCTCCAAGGCCACATTACCTTAGACATTGGGATACTTACATGCAGGTGTCCACAGGTGCCTGAGATCTCACATCCACCCGACCCTCTCTGCCTCCACACCCAGGCCTCCACCAGGAGCCAAGGGGGCCGCAATCACTAGGCAAGGGCAGGGGGTTGAGTGGCCAAGAGCCCGTCCCAGGGAGGCAGGAGAGAGAGGGAGGCAGGACCACATAGGAGCCAGGGCTCCCGGCAGCCAGTGCACACTCCATTGTCCCATCAGAGTTCACTGACGAATCTCAGTTCAAAGATAGTATCGTAAAGAGTTTCAAGATGGGGCCCTGGGAGCATTGAACTCCAAGCACAGGCCCTCGCAGGGGTCCCACTGCAGGAAGCCGGCCCTGCTGCTGACCCTGCCCACCTCCCTCAGCTCCTTGGTCCTGTCGGGTCTCCCTGCTGACCCCATGGCACTGCTCCACGCTCCTGTCTGTGGGGCCCCCGTCTGTCCCCACCTAGAATTCTGTTTCCATACCAAGGCCTAACCAATGGCCCCTGACCCCGTTCAGTGTTTTGAACCAGCCACTCCTGTTTTTGGCGGCCCTGCCCTCCCATGAATCTCACGCCCACGGCTGCCCTCGGATCTGGACACAGTTGCACTTGTTATCTGGTATCAGCACTAGGGAGGCTCAGTCAAGCCAGCACTAACGGTGGGTTTGGTGTCCTTGGGACTTCTCCACCCAGGGCCTGTGCCAAGGCTGGTCCTCAGTGCTTGGTCAAGAGTGGCTCTGGCGGCTCTGGGGTGGTGGCCTCTGCAGCTCAGTGCCCCTGCCACCCATGCTCACTGGATGGGGGCAACACCCTTCCTCCCAGTTCAGGGTGGATGGGCCCCAGAGCACCACCCAGCCAGCCAAGCCTCCTTGCCCCTGCCCTGCCCTCCGAATGGCCCAGATCATACCTGCTGCCTTTCTTTCCTAGCTCACTGCCTCCACCCAAGTCACCTTCTGTCCTGACTCCCAAGGACTTGGGTCCCACTGGGGAAGTCGGGAGGAAATGGGAAGCCTTCCTGACTGTGAGTGAGGGCAGGAGGGGAGGTGGGGTCAGAGAGGGCACCTGGAGGGTGGCAGGAGAGAGCAGGAGAGCGTGAGAGAGGTGGCAGAGGAGGGGGTGCGAGTAAGAAGAGAACACCATCATTGTTTACCAAACCTGAATTACACCACACCAAGTTGTCCTGTTATTTATTTATTTACTCATTTATGTATTTTAGTGTGTTTAATTGAGGTTAAAAAAAGAAGCAAGAAAAGTGTTTGCAGATTGGCTTTATGGCGGTGAGCTTTGCAATGATCTCTGAAAAAGTCCGGGGAGTCCGGCAGGCAGATGAGAATCTAGGCTTGCTGGCGTATCCAGATGACTCGGAAGGAGGACCCCAGACGGGGAGGGGCAGTGCTGGGAGCAGGAGGCGTCCTGGTCAGGCTGTCCATCCATGTCTACCCAGCAAATATTTGCAGGCCCTGAGCTCAGCAGGGGAGGAAATCTCAGGCAAATGAGACACAGACTCTGCCCTCCAGCCGCTTCGGAGAAAACAGCCGAGAAGGACACTGTTAAATGGAGTGGCAAGCCCAGAGCATCAAGGGCATTTGGAGGTGGGGGGCACTGCTGCTTGGGGACATGTAGACAGAATTTATAGAACGAGGCCCCTGGAAGGATTTCTGCAGGTTGCAGCAGGGTGGAGGAGCGTCGCCGGCCCGGGGCCAGGAAGAAGCTCAGGGCACAGGGAAGCTGGCCACGGGGTGTCCCATCACATCAGAGTGGTGTGGGCTACGGCTGGAAGGGGAGGCAGGCCACTGGCTGACACGCCGCACAGCAGACCGTGAATAGACGCATGAGCGAGTCAGGGAGTCAGGAGAGCTCTGAACACTTGAGTTCATTTCCTGCTGGAGGTGGGAGCCGTTGAAGGTTCTTGAGGGCATCCGTGAATGCACCGGAACTGTGGTCTAGAAACGTCCTAGCAACAGTGTGAGACGGGGAGCCAGCAGAGAAATCATCAAACAGTCTAGGCAGAAGGTAACGAGGGCCAGATGTGGTGGTGTGCACCTGTAATCCCAGCTACTTGGGAGGCTGAGGCAGGAGGATCACTTGACCTCAGGAGTTCGAGACCAACCTGGACAATGTAGCAAGGCCCTTTCAAAGAAAAAAAAAAAAAGGAGTTGGGGAGAGAGAGAAAAGGTAATGAGGGTTTGAAGTGGGCTGGGGAGGAGAGGAGCACTGGAGAGATCGCATTTGGCAGTACTTGATTAACGAAGATTGCAATGGGGGCGCACTCAAGCTTTCAACATTGTCACCGGAAATTGGGGGAGGTGGTGCCATGAAGGATGCCGGGGAAGCCAGGTGGAGAAGTCAGTTTGATGGAACACAGAGATCATGGGTTCCTTCTTGTTGGAGGTGTCTATCAGAGGTCTTCAAGTGACAAAAATTCAACTCAGAGGCTGGGTGCATTGACTTATGCCTATAATCCCAACACTTTGGGAGGCAGAGACAGAGGCAGGACTTGAGTCCAGGAGTTCGAGACTACCCTGGGCAACAAAGTAAGACCCCCATCTCTACTATAAATAAATAAATAAATAACTCAGATCAGCCTCTACAAAAATGAGAATGGGTTAGCCCACATTGACAAAAAGTCCAGAAAGTGACTTTAGTTAGATGCACGTCCACCAAAGCTCATGTTCGAGCCCACCATGTCCCATCTCCTGGTTCTGCTTTCTTCCTCAGGGAGAGCACCTGCCAGGCAGCAGTGTCGCTCAGCTTATGCGCAGCCAGCTTGGGGACTACAGCAGCTCATCCTAACAAGAGACCAGAACTTCAGGCTGGTCTGAGGCATGTGCCCACCTCTGGGTCACACGTCATTCTTGAAGCAGTGGGCAAGTCAAATATCCCCACCCCTCCTGCACAGAAAAGGGGAGGATCCCAAGAAGAGAATGTGGGGGCTGCCTCCAGGAGGAGAAGAAAGACTTGTGGGTCCACTGCAGACATCCAGGTGGAGATGTCTGGAGCCCAGGGGTCGGGTAAGAGCTACAGCCAGGTTGGGGTTATTGTGGGAGGAGCCGTAGGAGTGAATGAGATCAGGAAAGGTGGCCGGGGTAGACCTAGGACCTAGGGACCTAGGAAAGAGACAGACACGCTGGGGAAGAAGCGTCAGAGGACAGAGGGTGAGACGCTTGAAAAGGAAGTGGGCGAGAACAGTGTTGCCTAAAAAGAGGGAGCCCAGTTCCCTGAAGGTGAGGGTGAAGACAGGCCATTGGGCTGAGACGATGGGCAAAGGGCAGGGTGTGGGCAGAGCTGGTTTGGGACCCAGAGCAGTGGAAGGGCAGAGCAGCCCTTGCCGAGACCAAGGGACAGCAGGGCTGAATGACCGCAATGCAGCACCCGCTTCGCTTTGCAAATAAAATGCGGACTGCGCGAGAAAGCCTGGCTTTTAGCGTCCATGCGTGTCCAGGAACAGCGACCAGGGCAAGTGCTTGAGTGCGCCAGGCTGGGCGAGGCAGGGAGGGACTGAGGGCTGGGTCCGGGGGAGAGGAGTGGCCAGGGAGGAGGGGCGACCCAAAGGCCTCCGGTGATGCGCTGACAGAAGGTAAAAACAAGGAACAAAGCAAAACCACACACAGGACGGCAGCGCGGAGTCCGGGCCCTGCCCTCTGCAGCAGCGCAGCCCGGGGACTCTGGGGCTCTCCCTGCTGCCTGTGGAATTTCCAGGCCAGCGCATCTGATTGGCCTGGCCTGGGGCAGTGGGTGGGGATTTGGATGTTTCCAGAGAAGGGAAGATGGCGGTGAGACAGCCGCTCGGCAGCTCCAGAGGGGTCGATCCCGCGACAGGGGAAGGGGGCGTGGGCGTCACATGGCAGCGCTGAGACTTGAGTGCTGGAACAGCCCAGCGAGGAAGGTCCCAAAGACAGCTCTTTTCACCAGAGACAGGCCGTGCGTTTGCGGTGCGGGCTCCACCCGCAGTTCTGCTTCAGGTAGAAAAGGGATGAGGGTGCCGGGCCAGCTTGACCCGGTTTCCGCAGGGGCAGAAGCACTTCTTACCTTCGGCCTGCAGAGCCCCTCAAGCAACAGGGAACCACATTCTCCTGCCCTTGGAAAAAGTTGACCCGCTTCACAGTGAAGCCAGAGAGGCGAGGTGGGGGCGGCGGGGGGATTTGGATGGGACTTCCAGACGCCTTTCTTCTTCCCAGTGCCTACCTAGGGATGGGGACGCTAGGACAGCTGAAGCTGGCACATATCTGATCACTGTTCCTCAAGCACCTCTTTGTCCATGCACCCTCCCTGCCCAACACCTCCAATGGCCTCTGAGGCTTGGAGAATGACATCCAAGCTCTGCTTCCCAAACAGGCCCAAGCCCACCCTCTGCCTCCCAACTCATCCGACCATGACCACCATCTGTCACCCTTTGCAGCCACGCCCTGTGGTGACCACGCCCACAGACGGCCCTGGTGACCTCGCCGACAGATGGGCACGACCTTGAATGGCTCTGCTTTTGATAGTCACGCCCCTTGTAGCCATGTCCTGTGATGGCCACACCCACCAATGAGCATGCCCTCAGGTGACCACTCTCAGACACCCTGGGATCCAGCTGCCCTCACACCCCCGGGGCATGCCTGGGCACACCTGTCCTCTCTTTGGCCCTCCCCTAAAAAGCCCTCCAAATCCTAAATCCTTCTTCCAAATCCTGTTCTGCTGCTTCAGTCTCACCACCTCCTTGAGGCCCCCTGTGACTACCCCAGCTCTCTGGTGTTCACTCGCTTGGTTCCTACGATACATTGGAGCACATTTGCCTTTTTAAAAATAAGCTGAGCTGTCTCCACAGCTAGATTTTCAGATCCCGAAGGATAGGATGGAGGCAATTATTCTTTTTTGTGTACCATCCAAAACTTATCCCAGCACCAAATACCTTTTAGCTATTCAGTCTATGTCTCTTTTTTTTTGAAATGGAGTTTTTGTTCTGTTGCCCGGGCTGGAGTGCAATGGCATGATCTCAGCTCACTGCAACCTCCGCCTCCTGGGTTCAAGCGATTCTCCTGCCTCAGCCTTCCGAGTAGCTGAGATTACAAGCACCCGCCGCCACACCCAGCTAATTTTTTGTAATTTTAGTAGAGATGGGGTTTCACCATGTTGGCCAGGCTGGTCTTGAACTCTTGAGCTCAAGTGATCCACCCGCCTCAGCCTTCCAAAGTGCCGGGATTACAGGCGTGAGCCAACGGGCCCGGCCTGGCTCCCGAGAGCTTTCTAATGTGCAAGGAGGGCTGGGACTGGCTGATCTAAGGGTACCCTGGGAGTGCGATAGTGTGGTCAGCTTATGGGATTTGGAGCCAAACGGCCCCAGTCCAAGCCCTCACCTCACTCTCTGTGTGCGATCCAGCAGCCCTGGGCCTCAGTCATCTTCATCTCCCATATGGGTTTAAAATGCCCACTGCCCAGAACACACAGTGCCTACAGAGCTGCAGATGAGTCGAGCCCCTAAAGCGATAGCCCCCAAGCCTCCCTCAGAACCTAAGGGCTACACTGAGATAGACCCTCAGTCTTCTATACCCAGGGACATGTGGGGACAATGCAACACTCTCAAAAGAGGTGGCTCAAACAATGTCAACCGTAGTCATTTTATAGTGCTGGGAAAAGAATAGCCTTAATTTTACATCTGATTATAGAGGGAAGGATTCATAGTGTCCCTAAATTGACCTGTCTAAATATTTCCACATAATATGCACAATTGTCATCTGCAGGCACAAACGTTTCCTTTTCTTTTCTTCCCTTTTTTTTTTTTTTTTGAGACTGAGTTTCACTCTTGTTGCCCAGGCTGGAGTGCAGTGGCGCCATCTCGGCTCACCACAACCTCCGCCTCCCGGGTTCAAGGGATCTCCTGCCTCAGTCTCCCGAGTAGCTGGGATTACAGGCATGCACCACCACGCCCAGCTTTTTAGTAGAGATGGGGTTTCTCCATGTTGGTCAGGCTGGTCTCAACTCCTGACCTCAGGTGATCCACCTGCCTCAGCCTCCCAAAGTCCTGGGAATACAGGCGTGAGCCACCGCGCTCAGCCAAATGTTTCCTTTTCTTTTTTTCTTCCTTTCTTTTTTCTTTTTCTTTCTTTTTTTTTTTTTTTTTTTTTTTTTTTGAGATGGAGTGTCGTTCTTGTTGCCCAGGCTGGAGTGCAATGGTACAATCTCAGCTTACTGCAACCTCTGCCTCCTGGGTTCAAGTGATTCTCCTGCCTCAGCCTCCCAAGTTGCTGGGATTACAGGCGCCTGCCACTACGCCTGGCTAATTTTGGTTATTTTTAGTAGAGATGGAGTTTCGTCATGTTAGCTAGGCTGGTCTCGAACTCCTGACCTCAGGTGATCCACCAGCCTCGGCCTTCCAAAGTGCTGGGATTACAGGCGTGAGCCACCTTGCCTGGCCCAAACGTTTCCTTTTCTAAGAGGCCGTGGGGTGTCCTGGATCTGGGCAAAAAGGGCACTTCAGGGCGCGGGGCCCCACGAGGCGATGCCCTTGTTGGCCTGTCTTGGTATTGCTGCCCACCTGAGCCGGGGGAGTGGGCCGTAAACTCGCAATATTCCTCCACCCTGCTGCCCACCACAGGAATGCTTGCCTGTGAAAGTCATGGGTCCCCTTTGTGTCCCAGAGTTGTTGAACAAGATCCTGGTATACACCATCATCACACCACATGCCGGGAAGGCCGGAGGATTCTGGGACCGGAGCTCAGGTTTTATTTTTTATTGATACTAGAGAGAGGCTTAGAAGCTTTTCTAATTCTAAGAACCTGCTTAGAATTATACAAACTGAAGGGGATGGGGCTTCAAGTATTTTCAAGAGCTTGGGGGTTGCAGGTGTTACATGTTTGTCTGAAGATGAAGTTAACTAGATCACGAGGTAAGGAAGGGCAGCTTCAACTTCAGATGGTAACTCTTAAGTAGTATGCAAAGCCCTTATCCACATAGATAGCCAAGTCTGTAGGAAATACTGCTTGCTCTACGCTGAGCTAAGTCTCGCCAAAACCATACGGTGAAGCCCCCACTACCTCAGAATGGGACTGTATCTGAGATAGGGCCCTTACAAAGGTAATTCAGTTTCAGTGAGGCCATCAGGGTAGGTCCTAATTCAATCTGACGAGTGTCCTTATAAGAGGAGCTTGTAACACAGACTCAGAGGACGCGGCAGGAGGAGACGGCTGCAAACCAAGGCGAGGCCTGGGGGAAACCAACCCTGTCGAAGCCTTCCTCTCGGGCTTCCAGCTCCTCGGACAGTGAGGAAATCTGTCTCTACTGTGTAAGCCCCCCAGACAGAGGGCTTTGCTGTGGCATCCAGCCCTGACTAGTGCACTGCCCTGGTGGATTTTCTGCATGTTCCTGATACAGCTGACAGACAAGTGGATGATGACAGGGCTTTTTCATTATGGAGTCTCATGAGATGCTGCGGGCACAGCACACAGGACACTCTCCATCAGCATTAGGGACCGACACAACCATCGCAATGACAACCCTTCTCTTACTGCTCACGGGAGAACGCATGACCCAAGGTCCAAGGTCCAAGGCCTGTGCTGGGCAAGTTATAAATCAAATCCACAAATCTTCACTGGGCTCCTACAATACCATACCAGGTATGGAAAGCACTGCTTTAATCACGCTGGCTGGTCCTCACATTTCTTTCTTTCTTTTTTTGTTTGAGACTGAGTCTCGCTCTGTCATCCAGGCTGAAGTGCAGTGGTGCAATCTCGACTCTCTGCAACCTCCACTTCCCAGGTTCACATGATTCTAGTGCCTCAGCCTCCCGAGTAGCTGGGATTATGGGCGCCCGCCACCATGCCTGGCTAATTTTTGTATTTGTAGTAGAGACGGGGTTTCACAATGTTGGCCATGCTGGTCTTGAACTCCTGATCCCAAGCGATTTGCCCACCTCAG
The DNA here is from genome assembly GCF_000001405.40 of Homo sapiens. Lineage (NCBI taxonomy): Eukaryota > Metazoa > Chordata > Mammalia > Primates > Hominidae > Homo > Homo sapiens. The sequence continues at coordinate 7,265,623 of NC_000006.12, forward strand.
CCTCCCAAAGTGCTGGGATAACAGGCTTGAGCCACTGTGCCCAGTGTGGTCCCCACATTTCATTAAAATATCTTTATGGAATTCAGAGAAACAAGAAAAGTTATGGAGTTTTTTTTGGGAAAGTCAGGAAATTCCTCTGTCCTAGAACTAGATAGGGTGTCTTGAGTTCTCTTTGATTGGGAATATTTATTCGTCTAAAGGGGGTTTCTCAGCTCTGGGTGCCTATCTGTAAAATGGATGCTACCAGTTTATCTGTTCAATCTAATGGCAAGAAGCCTATGAAGGACAGAGTGTGAGGGCAAGGAGAACAAGGTGGTACAGTCCCTCTCTCCCACCCCTCCGAGCTGTGTGGCCTTGGTAAGAGGATTGGTATTGTATTGGGAGTGGTGAGAGGCTGGACAGAGGAGCTCTTGAGGCCCCTTCCAATTCTCCTGCTCCTCCGATCAAATAATAGGTTTGCCAAGTTCCCACACCCTGGACTCTACTGTCAAGGACCAGACAATCTTTGGGAACTGTGCCCCTTATCAATTTAGTGCCACACAGCTCCAAGTTCATCCTTCATTGCCTGCTTTGAGAAAATGGATCTGGCCCCTTTAGACATGTTTCCTTTGTGTGCTGACATGGTGTTAGGTTTTGTCAGAGAGAGAAGTGATAGGACACGGCCAGAAGGTTTTTCTTCCTGTGCTATGTGTCCACTTGGCTGACTCCTGCCATGCTCATGGACCCTCCAGCACCAGGCTCCTGCAGTGCGTGGTGGTCAGCAGCACCCAGCAGCCAGCAGCTTCCTCCAACCTCTTCAAGCAGTTTGTGGCTGACTTCCTCCAGGAAGGCACTTCTCTTACAGGAACAGTTTAACTCTGGCCCCCCCCAGAGCTGGATATCCAGCAACTCCCACTGCTTTGGCACCAACAGCAACTTCTCAGCCCTTCGGTGAGTCGGGGCAGTGCTCTCTCAAATGAGGGCTCGAGGTGGGGTGGAGGAGCGGTTGGATGAGAGGCTGTTTCTTTTTTTTTTTTTTTTTGAGACAGAGTCTTGCTCTGTCGCCCAGAGACTGAAGTGCAGTGGCAGGATCTCAGCTGAGAGGCTGTTTCTTATAGCTGCTCTTCCTAGATGATTGGAGTTGACTTCTTACTAGCCAACCCCTCACTACTCTAAACCTGTTACAGTTATGTCAAACTTCCCCCATTCAAATTAATATGTGGTTTCCTCTCTTGCTTGGTACAGCATTGGTACCATGAGTAGTCCCAGCCATAGACCTGCAAAGATGGGATTTGGAAGCTGGTTGTGCCTTTGGGCTTGAGCACAGTGCTGAGCTCCTTGCTGGTGGTACATTGGGTTCCTACTGGGAACAGACTTATCATTCCCAGGGGCCCTTCTTCCAATCCTGTGTAGCCTGCTGATAAATGATCACCCCTAGATCCAGGACGTGACCAAGCCCCACGGGTGATGGCAGCACAGCCTTCCAAGGGACATCTGGGGTTTCCACCTGTGACCTTGGTAACACTGGAAGCATTTCTGGGTGCTGGAATCAAGGCACTGCATGGATGCCCAGAAATGCTCCTAAGTGGCCTCAGAGCCACAGGTCTCTGCTGCACCGCTTAGGAGATGGCATCACCCTGAGCAAGGGACCCTGGCGGGGACCACTGGGCGGCGTGACCCAGGCTCACCCATCTTCAGATCGGGGCACTGGGTGTCTGTCATATGTCCAGAATACCATACTACTGTCACAGGCCGGGCTTGAAACCAAGGATGGGCACACAGAAGAGAAAGGCACATCTGGTCAAATCAAAGTGCTGCAAATATTGCGACTGTCCCGGCACCTCAGTCTCAGGAGAGCCAGTGAGGGCTTCCTTCAGTCTGGCTGATGCCTCATCTCTCTCCAATCCATCTTTTTCTCAGAGGCCCCTGTACCAGCATCACCCATCAGGGAACTGATCAGCAAGCAATTCTGGGCCCAATTCCAGGCCGACTGACTCAGAATTTCGGGGGTGGAGCCCAGCAGTCTGTGTGTGGACAAGTCCTGCAGGCAACTGTGCTGTGTGGTGAAGTGCAACAATTACTCATGTGCCAGGGGCAAATCCTGGCAGGCCCAGCCTGCAAATCACTGAATGCCCCCGCACCCCCGCTGGCTGACAGAGGCTTACCACCCGCCCCCAACACACACACTGTCAATCTCTGAATTCCCATGTAGAGCTTGTTTTAAAATGCAGCTTCCTGGGTCGGCTCCCTGAGATTCTGCTGGAGTAGGTATGTGTGTGTGTTCTGGGTGGTTCTGATGCGTGTGGCTCACAGGCTGAGTGTGCGATGCCTCTCTCTGCCTGTGACTCTGTGTGCACGTGTGTGCCTCTGTCAGGTGGCAAGTGAGCACTGCGTCTCCGCCCTCTCCTGTGTTCGCCTCAGATGCAGCGCACCTCTGCTCCTGTTGCCTCCCAGGTCCCCTGTGTCCTTCTTACCTTCACCTTTTTCCAAAATCCCCACTCCCATTCTCAAAGGCTCAGCTCAAAGATCTCCTCCTCCTGAAGCCTCTCGCCCCCCTCCCCACTCCCACCCACCACCCCCAATATGTTCTTGCTGCAAGTCCATAATATTAGTTATGGGCCCGGCTAGTGTGAAGACAGGCAGCGGCTGTCTTACTCAGCTGTGACTCCCCAGAGCCTGGCACTCAGCAAGAGATTCATACTTATTTGTAGGCCTTTCAATTCAGTTTATTTCAGTCTAATCTGATTCAGGGCAATTCAACTCCACTCACGTCAGCACAAGGGAAGAGCGCCCCGGAGCCCACAATGGGCACCAACACACAGACAGTGGCCTCAGGCAGCCCGGCTGGAAGGAGCCCACTGGTCTCACAGGCGTAACCCGTGTTTGCAGGCATAACTCGTGCGCACGTGTGGCACTGCTCGGCCTGGGCACCGAGCGCTCCCCGTGCCTCAGGTCCCTCCAGACATGCCCCCTCCACCGCCCCTCCTGAGGACGCTCATCTTTGAAAATGTCCTAAGACGGAACTGGAAGCTCTAAGGTACGCGTTCCAACCATCACGTGGCAGGGGCTGGTGGGCTTCACGCAGAGCCCCCTGTCTTCTGGCCTCATTCACCATCAGTGTAGTGGGTGGGGACAGCTGACCCAAGGGCCCTACTGCATGGGTCGCACGGTTCAGCCAGTCCTTGCTGGCGGGACCTGCATCCCCATCCTACTGGCTGGCAGAGTAGGACTGGTTTCCTGGGACATCTCCACCCAGAAACAGCACACGACAGCTGTTATTCATCAGCCACAAAGCCCTAGTGACACAGCCATGCCCAGCGGTGACTTCCCAGAGCCATCCGGCGGAGGGCCCGGTTGAACAGGCGGCTGCTGTCCTAAGTTTCACAAATTGCAAAACGATGCAGAAAAGATGGCCGGGTCTCCAGGAACGGCTGTGCTGGGGGATGTCCTGAAGCAGCCACGGCGGAAGCGCTGGCCTTGCACCTGGAGACTGCGAGGCGCCCGAGCTGCAGGAGCGGCCCGATGTCATCAGTGCGTCTCCCTCCTCCTGCGTCTGAAAGAGCAAAGGGAGACAGTGACCTCCTGAGAGGCTTCCAGACGCCCCGCCAGGCACTTCCCTACTGGTGCATGAAGTGTGTGGCTGGACAGAGGCAGCAGGGCGGGGGGCCCAAGACTCTCTGCTGCTCTGTCCAGGCCAAATAGTTCCCACAATCAAAGACCCAGAGACTCTCCCCTCACACCCATCCACCCTCCCATGAAGAAACACATGGAAAAATCTAGGATGGGGTTCCAAGTTTCTAAAACTGGTCCATTCTGTGATTCCCCAAAGGAAGGATAAATATCATGCTTTTTTCTTGGGATTTGATCAGAGTTTCATGCTTTCAGTGAGAATCTGGCATAAAAAGAAACCCCAACATTTAGCCATGCTTCACGAGTAAAGCAGTGAAAACTGCACACAAAGACCTATCTGGAGAGATTTGGAGGTTTCTGCTTTGTAACTCAATCAGCTCCGAAATCTCACTCATTCTTTCATTCACTCAAGAAATCTTAATATATTAAGTGCCTACTATGTGCCAGGCCCATAGGAGCTGGGGCACCATCATGAGCAAGATGAGGTCCCCTGAGCCTTGCAGTCAAGCGGGGGAAGAGACACACACCAAGATGGCTTGGTCAGTGCAGGTGAGGCACTGTACCCAGGACTCAGGTGAGGGAACAGACACCTACCCTAACTGTGGGTGCCTGGAGGGGTCTATGCAAGCTTTCTTAGAAGAGGGGTCATGAATACGGAGGTTGTAAAAAATAAATAAGACCCCACCATTCCCAAGTCATCAGTATCCACATCACCAGTAACGGGGCCAACCCAGCAGCACCATGTGGTCCTTGAGATGCTGAGCTGGGAAGGCCAGAGCATTGCTGCAGGGCTGTTCTTGCCAAAAAGGCAGAATCTGAATCTAATCCAGAGGAAGGATCACACAAACTCTCCCTGGGGTACTCTCTGCAAAACAACTAGCCTGCGCTCTTTAAAAATGCCAGGGACGCTGAAAGAGAGGCTGTTCCAGAACAAAGGAAACCAAGACATGACAACTAAACATACTGCGTGATCCCAAACCAGGAAAAAAAATAGCCATCAAGAGGATTGCTGAGACAATTAGTGAAATCTGAGCACAGCCTGTAGTTTAGAAACCATTACAAAAATGTTAAATTTCCTGACTTTTATAACTGTAGTTTAGTTATGTAAGAGAATGTTTGGGCCGGGTACGGTGGCTCACGCCTGTAATCCCAGCATTTTGGGAGGCCGAGGCGGGTGGATCACCTGAGGTCGGGAGTTTGAGACCAGCCTGACCAACATGGAGAAATCCCATGTCTACTAAAAGTACAAAATTAGCCGGGTGTGATGGCGCATGCCTGTAATCCCAGCTACGGGAGGCTGAGGCAGGAGAATTGCTTGAACCTGGGAGGCGGAGGTTGCGGTGAGCCGAGATCACGCCACTGCACTCCAGCCTGGACAACAAGAGCAAAACTGTCTCTGAAAAAAAAAAAAAAAAAGAATGTTTGTTCTTAGGAGGTAAACACTGGTGGATTTGGGGGAAGGGGAAATAGCATATCTGCAATTCACTCCCAGAGAGCTCAGAAAAATATACATATGGTGGGTGTGTGCATTTGTATATGGTGAAATGCTAACCACGATCTGGGTGAAGGTGAAGGGCACAGGGAATTTCTTTATACTATTTTGTAACTTTTGTGTAAGTTTGAAGGTGGCAGAGAGTCTGGGAGAGAGGGCAGCCTGTGCAGGCAGGAGGTGGCACCAGTGTGGTGTGCACAGGGAATGAGCTGCTGGGCTGGAGTACAAATTCACAGCAGGACCAGTGAGACAGAAGGGCCAAAGGGCAGGCAGAGGCTAATGGTGGAGAACTTTGTCCTGATGGTTGTGGGGAACCTTTAGAAGGTTTCCAGCAGGAGAGAGCAACAGGGTCAGAATGCTATTTGACAATGACCACAGAAGCAGCTCAGGTGGTGGGCTGGAAGGGGACCAGACTGGCAGCTGGGAGAGTGGGGCAGGGCTCTCACAGCACTGCAGCCAAAGGCGGGCACCACGCCCACACGGGGCAGCACACGGGAACCAAGAGTTGCCACACATTCCTAAGGCCCAGAGCAGGGCAGGGCCGCCGAAGAGCTGGATATAAAAGACTGTTAAGAGGCAGGAGGATGGAGGGGGTCTGCACAAAGGGAGTTTCTTCTGGAAGCGATGGCACCAACCGAGACAGGAAAAACTGCAGGAAAAAGTGGTTTGGGGCTGGGCGCGGTGTCTCACGCCTGTAATCCCAACACTTTGGGAGTCTGTGGCGGGTGGATCACCTGAGGTCGGGAATTCGAGACCAGCCTGACCAACATGGAGAAACCCTGTCTTTACTGAAAACATAAAAAATTAGCCAGGCATAGTGGTGCATGCCTGTAATCCCAGCTACTCGGGAGGCTGAGGCGGGAGAATCGCTTGAACCCGGGAGGTGGAGGTTTTGGTGAGCCAAGATCGCACCACTGCACTCCAGCCTGGGCAACAAGAGCAAAACTCTGTCTCCAGAAAAAAAAAGAAAAGTGGTTTAGGGAAGGAAAATGATCAATCCCCATATGGAGTTCCAGGTGCCTCTGGGATACGGGTGTTTGGCTGGGTCTACCGTTCGCTGGAGAGAGTGGGGGCACTCCTGGGGCCAGCCTACCCACCTCCAGATCCTGGCTACCTTTCTCACTAGCTGGGCAGCCTTACCGTTCTATACCTCAATTTGCTCAGCTCTAAAATGGTGATATCATAACCTGTCTCAGATAGAGAACGGTATGAGTGAAGACAAGTCAGATGCTCTCAGATAGAGAACGGGATGAGTGAACACAAGTCAGATGCTCTCAGATAGAGAACGGTATGAGTGAACACAAGTCAGATGCTCTCAGATAGAGAACGGTATGAGTGAACACAAGTCAGATGCTCTCAGAGAACGGTATGAGTGAACACAAGTCAGATGCTCTCAGATAGAGAACGGGATGAGTGAACACAAGTCAGATGCTCTCAGAGAACGGTATGAGTGAACACAAGTCAGATGCTCTCAGATAGAGAACGGGATGAGTGAACACAAGTCAGATGCTCTCAGGTAGAGAACGGTATGAGTGAACACAAGTCAGATGCTCTCAGGTAGAGAACGGGATGAGTGAACACAAGTCAGATGCTCTCAGATAGAGAACGGTATGAGTGAACACAAGTCAGATGCTCTCAGATAGAGAATGGTATGAGTGAACACAAGTCAGATGCTCTCAGATAGAGAACGGTATGAGTGAACACAAGTCAGATGCTCTCAGAGAACGGGATGAGTGAACACAAGTCAAATGCTCTCAGATAGAGAACGGGATGAGTGAACACAAGTCAAATGCTCTCAGATAGAGAACGGTATGAGTGAACACAAGTCAAATGCTCTCAGAGAACGGGATGAGTGAACACAAGTCAGATGCTCTCAGATAGAGAACGGGATGAGTGAAGACAAGTCAGATGCTCTCAGATAGAGAACGGTATGAGTGAAGACAAGTCAGATGCTCTCAGAGAACGGTATGAGTGAAGACAAGTCAGATGCTCTCAGATAGAGAACGGTATGAGTGAACACAAGTCAGATGCTCTCAGATAGAGAACGGTATGAGTGAACACAAGTCAGATGCTCTCAGAGAACGGTATGAGTGAACACAAGTCAGATGCTCTCAGATAGAGAACGGGATGAGTGAACACAAGTCAGATGCTCTCAGATAGAGAACGGGATGAGTGAACACAAGTCAGATGCTCTCAGATAGAGAACGGTATGAGTGAACACAAGTCAGATGCTCTCAGGTAGAGAACGGGATGAGTGAACACAAGTCAGATGCTCTCAGGTAGAGAACGGTATGAGTGAACACAAGTCAGATGCTCTCAGGTAGAGAACGGTATGAGTGAACACAAGTCAGATGCTCTCAGGTAGAGAACGGTATGAGTGAACACAAGTCAGATGCTCTCAGGTAGAGAACGGTATGAGTGAACACAAGTCAGATGCTCTCAGAGAACGGTATGAGTGAACACAAGTCAGATGCTCTCAGGTAGAGAATGGTATGAGTGAACACAAGTCAGATGCTCTCAGATAGAGAACGGTATGAGTGAACACAAGTCAGATGCTCTCAGATAGAGAACGGTATGAGTGAACACAAGTCAGATGCTCTCAGATAGAGAACGGTATGAGTGAACACAAGTCAGATGCTCTCAGATAGAGAACGGTATGAGTGAACACAAGTCAGATGCTCTCAGAGAACGGTATGAGTGAACACAAGTCAGATGCTCTCAGAGAACGGTATGAGTGAACACAAGTCAGATGCTCTCAGGTAGAGAATGGTATGAGTGAACACAAGTCAGATGCTCTCAGATAGAGAACGGGATGAGTGAACACAAGTCAGATGCTCTCAGATAGAGAACGGTATGAGTGAACACAAGTCAGATGCTCTCAGATAGAGAACGGTATGAGTGAACACAAGTCAAATGCTCTCAGAGAACGGGATGAGTGAACACAAGTCAAATGCTCTCAGATAGAGAACGGGATGAGTGAACACAAGTCAAATGCTTTGAGGGTCCCAGGTCAGAGCTAAGTGCTCAGTAAGGGGCAGCAGCCCCCACCCATTTCAGGTGACCTTGCAGCTATGAAACAAAGGGTGAGAAGTATCAGGAAGGGGTCACGGAACACGGCTGGGCAGCAGGAGCCTCATCAGACACAGGCTCCCCCCGCCCTCGGCGTGCTGGTGCCAGCCTGCCACATGGCTGCTTAGGGACGTCGTGGCTGTCAGCCACAGCTTGCCCTGGGTAACGGTGTGCAGCACGCTTGTGGGAAAACCAGCAGCACTTGTTAAAATACAGACTCCTGGGCCCCAGCCCAGTGTCAGAGCCTCCCTGGGGATGGCATCCTGAACCTTGCACTTCAAGGAAGCCCCACCCTTTACCCCCAGTCTCGGGGCACTTTGCAAGTGCCACAGAGCAGGAAGGAATTGCTGAAGTAACGTGTTTTGGAGGGAGAGAGCTAATGGCCATCATTTCCATCTTTTATCTCAGGTCATCACTTGGACCCTTTAATTTACATAATTCAATAGAATCTGTAAGGTTTCAAGGAGCCAGACAATTATCTTAATAAAGGCAGTGTTTCCTTGAAAACAAAATTGCTCTATGGAAATATATATATTATATATATATTATATATAATATATATATATATAATATATATTATATATATATATATAATATATATATAATATATATTATATATATATAATATATATATATATTTTTTTTTAAGACAGAGTCTCGCTCTGTCGCCCAGGCTGGAGTGCAGTGGCTCAATCTTGGCTCACTGCAACCTCCGCCTCCCAGGTTCAAGCAATTCTCCTTCTTCAGGCTCCTGAGTAGCTGAGATTACAGGCACGTGCCACCATGCCCAGCTAATTTTTGTATTTTTAGTACAGACGGGGTTTCACCATGTTGGCCAGGCTGGTCTCAAACTCCTGACCTCATGATCTGCCCGCCTCGGCCTCCCGAAGTGCTGGGATTAAGAGCCACTGCGCCCGGCCCGGAATATAGTCTTTAAAACACCCATGTAGGCTGCAGGACATTTGACCTTGGCCTGGATAACATGATTGTTCACAAAGAAAGAAGTGATAGCTCTCTTCAAACACATCAAGGGCTGTTGTAAGGGACAGAAGGCAGATTTTTTTTTTCTAAGAAGATCTGCAGAGCAGAACTAGGACATCAACAGGGAAGTTGATTTGGGTTCAAGGAGGAACTAGTATTTGAGCTGTCCAAAGACAGGCCACCTGGCCAGGTAGAGGTGTTCATACAGGTGGTTAGAGAAGAGGGTCCTGCATTGGGTAAAGAGCTGGACTAGATGACTCTTAAGATTCTTTCCAACTCGAACATTAAGTAGATGAGAGGCCGCTACCAGAAGTTCACAGGGAGGAATAAGTTGCTGATAGTGGTTTTCAGTTGGCTGACAAATAAACATGGCTTATGTAATGAAGAAATAAATATTCTTAGTGGTGAAAATTTGAAGGCTACTCTGTGCCAGGCATTGGGATCAGCTTTTTCTTAACATGCAGAACCTTTAAAAAGTAAAACCCTTGACATACAGCAAGGACTTTATTAATATTCCTAGGGTAACTAATAACTGTAGTTACTATTATCCCCATTTTGTATATGAAGAGACAGGCTGAGACAAGTGACTTGCCCAAGGTAATCTAGCCACTGAGTGGGTAAGTTTTGATTCAAACAAGGGCTAATTCCAACAGCTATTTTTTTAATACATAAAAAACTAATTTTAAATTTTTTTGTAGAGATGGGGTCTTACTATATTGCCCAGGCTGGTCTCGAACTCCTCGCCTCAAGTGATCCTCCTGCCTCGGCCTCCCAAAGTGCTGGGATTACAGGCTAGGATTACTGTTGGAGCTACCGTGCCTGGCCTCCAACAGCTATTAACCATCATACTATACTACTGACTGTCCAGCAACTGAAAATATTTGATTTGTTCATCTGAAGTCATCCTGTGTGTATACGTATATGGACATGACAGTGGCAAAGTCGACAGGTGGCCAGCTTTGTCTGTCCTCAAAGACTGCTCCTTTGGGAGGCAAGCTGCAGCACATGTTGGGCGTGGTCAGGCAGCTCTACAGATGACCCACGGGCTTGTCTCACAGCATTCATCTTTCTACCAACACAAACCATTCAAATTACTTAAAAAATCCGAGATTATTTCACTGATGTCTTAGCAAAAGCAGCATTTTTCATTTTCATTTTAATTCTGGGGTAGGGGTGGAGCACAGGCTGTTAGGCTGGTTGGAGTAGGGGGTTTGCTTTAGGAGAGAATGATTCCTAACAGTCTTGTCTTCTTCCCAGGCTTCTCCAGCTTTCTGGCAATACCAAGGGGCAGACCCGGGAATGGGTTGTTCAGTCACTGCTGTACCGCCCATGAGCGGCAGAGGGCAGCAAAACACACTCATCGGACGGGCATCAAGGGAGCCTGAGGATAACCAGGTATGCTTTAAAATGTTTTCGCATCATTTAGGGAACTCTTGCAGAGGAGAAATACTACAGATTTAAAATTATGAAACCAAAAAAACCACAGACACGAGTAACTATTTATTCTCCTTATGAGAAACTTAGAACTGGGCGTGGTGGTTCACACCTGTAATCCCAGCACTTTGGGAGGCCGAGTTGGGAGAATCACCTGAGGCCATGAGTTCGAGACCAGCCTGGGCAGCTCGGCGAGACCCTGTCTCTACTAAAAATTCAAAAAAAAATTAGCTGGGCATGGGGGCATGTGACTGTAATCACAGCTACTTGGGTGGCTGAGGAACAAGAATCCCTTGAACCTGGGAAGCGGGGGTTGCAGTGAGCTGAGATGGCGCCACAGCACTCCACTCCAGCCTCGGCAACAGGGCGAGGCTCTGACTCAAAAAACATAGAAGTGGGCCGGGCGCGGTGGCTCACGCCTGTAATCCCAGCACTTTGGGAGGGTGAGGCGGGTGGATCACGAGGTCAGGAGATCGAGACCAGCCTGCCTAACACGGTGAAACCCCGTCTCTACTAAAAATATAAAAAATTAGCTGGGCGTGGTGGCTGGCGCCTGTAGTCCCAGCTACTCAGGAGGCTGAGGCAGGAGAATGGCCGGAACCCTGGAGGCAGAGCTTGCAGTGAGCCGAGATCGTGCCACTGCACTCCAGCCTGGGTGACAGAGCGAGACTCCGTCTCAAAAAAAAAAAGCCACAAAAATTAGCCAGGGGTAGTGGCACCTGCCTGCAGTCCCAGCTACTCGGGAGGCTGAGGCAGAAGAATTGCTTGAACCTGGGAGGCGGAGGTTGCAGTGAGCCAAGACTGTGCCACTGCACTCCAGCCTGGGTGACAGAGCAAGACTCCATCTCAAAAAAGAAACAAACATACAAACAAACAAAAAAAACCATAGAAGTATACTTTTACAAATTCTTTTTTAAAAACACATACATATAATTTAAAACACAGATGGGGGTCTCACTCTGTCAACCAGGCTGGTCTCAAAATCTTGGGCTCAAGTCATCCTCCCGCCTTGGCCTCCAAAGTGCTGGGATTACAGGCGTGAGCCACTGTGCCCAGCCAACTTTTACAAATTCTCTTCTGTTTTTTTTTTTTTTGGAGACGGAGTCTCACTCTGTCACCCAGGGTGAAGTGAAGTGGCACACTCTCGGCTCACTACAACCTCCACCTCCTGAGTTCAAACAATTTTCCTGCCTCAGCCTCCCAAGCAGCTGGGACTATAGGCGCCCACCACCATGCCTGGCTAATTTTTGCATATTTAGTAGAGACGGGGTTTCACCATGTTGGCCAGGCTGGTCTCAAACTCCTAACCTCAGGTGATCCACCTGCCTTGGCCTCCCAAAGTGCTGGGATTACAAGTATGAGCAACTGTGCCCAGCCTCCTTTTACAAATTCTTAAAGACACAGCTAGTCTCCTGACGTGAGGCACTACTCAAAGGGAGCTTGAACAAATAGTTTTCCTTTGGTCTCTTTCCTCACGGGGTTCGTGTGGCAGCTTTGTGTGCCTGTGATATGTTACGGAGTTGTTTCCACTGGGAATTTGGTAACTTTGTCATTATGCGTTTAAGGAGAAAATAGTTAAGATTACAATTCACTCAATTTAGGAACCAACTTTTTATTTTGAAGCTACAGCTGTGATCTATTGTTTCACTTCCCTTTATGGAACTCACCTAATGGAATTTCACAGAAACCATCTATAGCAACGCCTATGCACTTGCTTGCCAGTTTCTGTTAAGTTTTTGTTTTAGTAAATGCTTCCTGGTTTGAGCTGCAATGTACAACCAAGATGCCATTTCCACTTCTCAAGGTGGAGCAGTCTGATCCATAACCCTGCAAGTTCCCAGCCAGAGATGCACGCATTTGTGAACAGGACACACAAACCTGTGTCCAGCTCTGCCACTTAACGGTTGTGGAATTTCTGGCAAGTTAATTTAACCTGTGTTCAATTTCCTTATTTGCAAAATGGAGATACACCTACTTCACAGTGTGATAAATAATTCACATGAAACACCTACCACGTGTGTCAGGTCCTGTTTTAAGACTTGGTGAGCTGGTGACAAAATTCTTGCTGTCATAAGCTTACATTCACAAGGGGTGATGGGCAATGGAAGGACAAGGTAACTTCTGTGTGTGTGTGTGTGTGTGTGTGTGTGTGTGAGAGAGAGAGAGAGAGAGAGAGAGAGAGTCTGTCTCGCTCTGTCGCCCAGGCTGAGAGACAGAGAGACTTGCTCTGTCGCCCAGGCTGCAGTGCAGTGGCATGATCTCGGCTCACTGCAACCTCTGCCTCCCGGGTTCAAGTGATTCTCCTGCCTCAGCTTTCCAAGTAGCTGGGATTACAGGTGCGCGCCACACCTGGCTAATTTTTGTATTTTTAGTAGACACAGGGTTTCACCATGTTGGCCAGGTTGGTCTCGAACTCCTGACCTCAAGTGATCTGCCCACCTCAGCCTCCCAAAGTGCTGGGATTACAGGTGTGAGCCACTGCGGCCAGCCCAAGGTAACTTCTGATAGTGGTGAAGATAATGAGAACAGAGCAGGGTGTGTGGGGCCTTCCATGAGGGGAGTTTTCAGGAAGACTAAGAGCAGGGAAGATGGGGGCTGAGACCTGGGCAGAGGGGATTACTGCCAAGGCCCTGATCCTGGACAAGCCTGGCAGGGTAGAAGATGAGGAGGTGGCTGGCCAGGAAGCCTGGAGGGCAGCACAGGAAGGGGCAAGGCAGGGAGGGCGAGATACTGGAGAGCCCTGCAGGCAGTGGTGGAGCACTTGTGCTCACCTAGATGCCAGTGGAAGCCAGAGGAGAGTTTCCAGAAGAGAAGAGTCAGGATCTGATAGAGTGGCTTGGACTCTTGTGGGCATAAAGCCCGAGAGGCAAGGGGGTGGGGCAGGAGTGGCTGCACTGAGCACTGGCCTGGCACCAACTCGGCAGCAGAGAGGAGCTCATGTTTTTACAAACAGCAAAGAGAAAGGCTGAGTCCCTGAAAAGGAGAAATACTTTCAAGGGTTTTCTATTAAGAATCTATCTTGGGGCCGGGTGCGGTGGCTCACGCCTGTAATCCCAGCACTTTGGGGGGCCAAGGTGGGTGGATCACGAGGTCAGGAGATCGAGACCATCCTGGCTAACACGGTGAAACCCCGTCTCTACTAAAAATACAAAAAATTAGGCGGGTGTGGTGGCGGGCACCTGTAGTCCCAGCTACTCGGGAGGCTGAGACAGGAGAATGGGGTGAACCCGGGAGGCGGAGCTTGCAGTGAACCGAGATCACGCCACTGCACTCCAGCCTGGATGACAGAGCAAGACTCTGTGTCAAAAAAACAAAAACAAAAAAAGACTCTTATCTTGGGCTGGGCGCGGTGGCTCACACCTGTAATCCCAGCACTTTGGGAGGCCTAGGCAGGTGGATCATCTGAGGTTGGGAGTTCAAAACCAGCCTGACCAACATGGTGAAACCCCGTCTCTATTAAAAATACAAAAATTAGCTGGGCGTGGTGGCACATTCCTGTAATACCAGCTACTAAGGAAGCTGAGGCAGAATAATCGCTTGAACCCGGGAGGCGGAGGTTGCAGTGAGCCAAGATTGCGCCATTGCACTCCAGCTGCGCAACAGAGTGAGACACCGTTTAAAAAAAAAAAAAAAAGAATATCTTGATTTTCTTTCACTATGTAGTGACAATGCATCCAAGTTTTAAAAAGTGGCTCCGTTTCTTTTGGGGCCACAAATAAGCTATCCACAACCACTGGATTTATTATACTCATTGTAGGAGGCTCAGATAAATTTCACATTTGCATTTATTGCTTCCATTATAAAATATAGGCTCATTACAAACATTCTGAAGAAGAAAAAAAAAGTCCACTATCCTAACCAAAAACGGCTTTAGCATTTTGGTGTATTTCTCTTCAGACTTTGGATTAATCCAAAGTTTAATACTGAATGTTTCAAGCATTGCAGAGAAGACGTAATGCTGGTTCTTACTGCCCTAATATATTTTTTCCTAACTCCCCAAGCTTGTTATGCTCTAGTATTTTTTATTCTTCAAAGCATTTTTTCCTCTCAGCAGAAAAAGCTAAAAACATTATTATCTGGTAACAAAGACTGATTCTCCAGAGTTTGCACAGCCTCTAATTAAAAGTTACTTTTTCTATGAAGAACACTTTAATTCTACTGCTTAGAATACAATCTTGAAGGGAAAGAAATCTTAGGTGCTACTGACTTACTGGCTGGGTATACAGATGAGAAAATTACATCAAAGATCCATCTCGGCTTCCTTAGAAATGTTTAATAAGCGATCAGAGTATGCAGTCTGTGCAATTATTGGGAATGGAAAGTCAGTATGGGAGTGTGGATGGGGTAGACCTTACTTACTCATATACCTGCGTGAGGGGGAGTGTCTTTATGATCATCATCTGAAAAGCCAACTAGCTGACAGCCCAAGAGTGCCTGTAAAACCAATCTTAAATCACCTTTATTCTAAAACATCACTGAAATGTCTAAAAATGTGTGAACTTTTTTTTTTTTGAGACGGAAGCACCCAGGCTGAAGTGCAGTGGCGTGATCTCAGCTTACTGCAACCTCTGCCTCCCGGGTTCAAGTGATTCTCCTGCCTCAGCCTCATGAGTAGCTGGGATTACAGGCGCGTGCCACCACGCCCAGCTAATTTTTGTATTTTTAGTAGAGACGAGGTTTCACCATATTGGTCAAGGTAGTCTTGAACTCCTGACCTTGTGATCCATCCACCTCAGCCTCCCAAAGTGCTGGGATTACAGGCGTGAGCCACCGTGCCCGGCCAAACTTTTAAATAATTTCCAGGAGGACATTCCGATCAAAATTGTGATTTTTTTTCTTTTCTTTTTTTGCTTCTATTTTGGATTCCTCGTGCGTCTTGAGACCAAGCAGGAATATGCACTGGTACTTTAGAAAACATTTCATGTTGCACACAAATACTTTCATGATCAGCTTTAATTTAAGGGACATGTAAATAAAAAGATGCATTTGACAGGACAGCAGACTAGTTCAAGCAGGAGGTTAGACCAGTAACAACAACCAAGAAAGCAAAGTGCTCGTTTCCATCTTGGCTTTACCACACTTACAAACTGATACCCAAATAACAGAAATGTTTCTCAAAGCTGCACAAGAATTTTAAGGATTCATGACCCCACTTTCATTAAATAGTCCCAGAAGATAGCTAAATAACATTTTCAGATAGAACCTCACACTGCATAAGTTTCATAACAAACAAACCTAAGATATGCTGACAGAAATCACATTGAGTTTGCAAGCACTCAAATAGAAAACCCAAGACCTCCGGCAACAAATTAGAAAATATGAACAGAAATATTTTAAACCACAAGTATTTCATCCCAACTAAATTCCAATTTCTTCAATGTTCTCTGAGTTGTTAGATTTCAAAGTGAAGAGAACTGAAATCTCTTTTTATTCATAGCAGAGCCAAAACTGGAAGTCACTTATTAAATACCTGTGTACAAAACACCATACTTGGGGCTATATGCGATTTCAGGTTGGATAAACGAGTCATGTTGAATGACAAAAAGTTAGACTGGGGAGATTTATGGAGAGAAGCAAGCACCTGTGATTTGTTGGTTTGGCGTTACAATAAACACTGTAAGTGAAAATGAGTCACAGGCAGTTAGAATGGCGTTAAGGAAACCATTTAGGTCTAAAAATCAGGACTGAAGTGATCAACAGTTAACAGATGAAGCCATGAGAACTGGCACGCTCTGGAAAGGCTGGTGCAGAGAGCAGGACGGTGAGCCTGAGTGAGCCTGGAGTTAGTCAACAGATTCCTCAACAGAAAAGGAGTGAGGAGCAGGGTCAAAGAAATGAAGGTGAATTTGGGGGGTGGTGGTCAATGGGTTAAACGTACAAGTTGAGGCCGAGGAACTGAGGCTGAAGAAGGTTCTGGCAAGTGGAGAACCATGAGATCCTGACAGAGCAGGCTTTTGTGGGCAGAAGCCATATTAGAAGAAGAGCTAAAGGAAAGCTGAAAACCTGGCGACGAAAAGGAAGCCAAGAACATAGGAGATATTTTGACAAAACGGAAAAACAACAGAACAGGAAGTGAGGCAGGAGAACCACAGAGATGGAAGCCAGGAGGTGTCCAATTAGACGGGCACAAGAGAAAAACAGCCAGAGACCGAGAAAACGGCGGGAAGGAAAGGTTCCATCTGGAGAAAAAAGCCTCTCAAGACTGGAAGGGACAGGAGCTGGTGACCATGAAGCAGTTCAGACTCAGCTCTGAGCCCCTTGTGTGGACCACAAGCAGCACTGCAAAGTCCTCGCTGTAGAGAGAAGACCATAGATGCACACAGACGGGGTTATCCCTTGAAACCAGATCCGGGAAGCCATCAGTCAAAAAGCCTGTGTGGTCACAGATGCTTACTGGTGGTTCCTGAAATGAGTATTTCTAGGCAGGGGGCTTCAGTATAAACCAGATGTGTGCTAGCTGGGTGGACTTCAAGTAAGGAGTCAAGACAAAACACTTAGAGTGACCTTTTGGCCACTGCTGTGTCTGCAGGCTCAGCCTCCTCTAGATCTGATTCCCACAGTGGAGGGACAAAGGGCCAGCAGCTTGTAGGACCAAATGAGAAAAATACATAATCATTATGTTTTAGCCAGAAAAAGGCAACTTGATTATGAACTGGATGACATATCAAATGCAAGGCCTTAAAATGCATTCACTCTAATAAACTGCTCTGTAGAATTCAAGGGAATGAAATCCGCTTCTCATACGTACCAAGGACCAACTGCTTTGAATCTTCCACTGTGGATGATGGCAACTGGTCCTTTTAGGAGAGCCATTTTCCAGACAGTCTTGTCTTTATTTATTTATTTTTTAATTGTTAGTAGCTTTTACTTATTATTTATGTACTTATTTTTTGAGACAGTCTCACTCTGTCACCCAGGCTGGAGTGCAGTGGTGCAACCTTGACTCACTACAACCTCCTCCTCCTGGGTTCAAGTGATTCTCCTGCCTCAGCCTCATGAGTAGCTGGGATTACAGGCGTGCACCACCTCGCTCGGCTAATTGTTTTTGTTCTTTTTTGAGATGGAGTCTCGTTCTATCTCCCAGGCTGGAGTGCAGTGGCACGATCTCAGCTCACCACAATCTCCACCTCCCAGGTTTAAGCAATTCTCCTGCCTCAGCCTCCCAAGTAGCTGGGATTACAGGCATGCACCACCACACCTGGCTAATTTTTGTATTTTTAGTAGAGGCGAGGTTTCACTATGTTCGCCAGGATGGTCTTGAACTCCTGACCTCAGGTGTTCTGCCCACCTTGGCCTCCCAAAGTGTTGGGATTACAGGTGTGAGCCACCGTGCCCGGCCTTTTTGTATTTTTTAGTAGAGATGGGGTTTCACCATGTTGGCCAGGCTGGTCTTGAACTCCTGACCTAAAGTGATCCACCCACCTCAGCCTCCCAAAGTGCTGGAATTACAGGAGTGAGCCACCATGCCCTGCCCAGTCTTTATAAATGAAGCTTGACTCTGGACTGTGATAGCAGAAACAAATACAGGCAGTGCCTCAGAGAATACAAAATATCAAGCAAATCCTAAGTGTTGAAGCTAGAACCCAGGTGAGTGCACTCTGCATTACTGAGAATGTGCTCCCTGCCAAAAGGCTCCTACCCTATTCCAACCAAGCCGGAAATGGCAACAGACCAAACGTGAGGAGTGAGTGCCTCTGTGCTCCTTGAGGCTGTTTCATTACAGATAACAAGGTTACCTAGGGCAGTTGTGAAGATGAAATGAGGATGTGTGTGGAAGGGCAGAGCAGATGCTTGATGTTCTCCATCTGAACACTACTCTTGACCACAGTATTTCTCATTCTCCTTTCTGAAATGCCTCTAGGCCTTAAGCGCCTATTTCTATAAATGTTGGGTGATCAGACCAATATGGTTTCTGAAAAAACTGTTCAGAAATAGACTAATTTTCTTTGGGTGGTTCAGTCTGATGCTGAAATAAATTGCAAGATGATTTTCAAAAATAACATGAACCCCAACAGCTTCACTGAGAAATATGGAGCCTCTTCAAACGTGTTTTTAAAAAGAACTGGATGTGCAGGTGTAAGAGATTTATTACAAAACAAAAACTCCCCTTGCCAGCCTTATTACTCTGGCTCATCATTAAAATCCAGTGCTAGCCATATTACATGCCCATCTTAAAACTTTTATCCTTTAGTTACAAAAAGAATACTATGTAGCTTACATATTCAGAATTTACCTACTACCCCACCACATCAAAGTCCATAAGGTACCATATACTCTTCCCCGCCCCATGCTTCATGGGATGTTATTACAGTATGGTGCTTTACAGCGAAAATGAGAGCAGTCACTTAAGCGGCTTACTGAGACCCAGGCAATGTTCTAAGCAGCTACACACAGTAACTCCTAACAACCTTAGGAGGCAGGAACCAAAAGCTGAAGCATCATACAACTTGCCTCCAACTAAGAGGGGATCTGGGGTTCAAACCCAGGCAGCCTGACATGAGCGTTTCCTTTTTTTTTTTTTCTCTTTTGCTAAGTAAAAAGTAGGTTTAAGGGAAGAATCATTTATAGTAACACTGAATTAAGTAAGGGTTTGTAGGTCACAGAATCAGACTATTTAGGGCTGATACTTCAAGCATATCTCAATTAACAAAAAAGCACATTGAGACTCCAAGGATGAACTGCCTTTGCTTAGTGGCCAGGGCACTGTCAAGACCCAGAGGTCTCCTAATTCCCACGCTAGCACACCATACCACCCCTTTGTTCAACCTCACAGAATTGCCAATACTAGCGTATCACCAGGAATACTTACGAACCATACTAACTCACATGGAAGAATGGCAAATGAAAACTGGCCCACATTTTCTTGTTCCTTCTTCAAAGAGTAATAGGGTTCTACCTAATTGTGAACTAGAAGCTGGGGATGAAAAACAAGCCAGATACAGAGCTCACAGTCCAGAAGGAGATGTCAACAAGATGACAGGCTGCCATGGGTACTGACAGAAGTCTACATAAGGGACAGCAGGGGAACAAAAAAAGGCACAGTCAAAACATCTTTGACTGCAATTTGGAGACTTTAAACAAGGATTATCCTTTCTACAGGCATACTGAATTTTCTTTTTAATGCCTCACTGTGCCTATTAAGCAAAATCCGTAATACAACACACCAGACAGAAGCCTTACCCTGTGAGCCGGGCGCAGTGGCTCACGCCTGTAAGCCTGACACTTTGTGAGGCCAAGGTGGGTGAATCACTTGAGCTCAGGAGTTCGAGACCAGCCTGGCAACATGGTGAAACCCCGTCTCTACCAAAAACAAAACAAAAACATTAGCCAGGCCTGTGGTGTGCGCCTGTGGTCCCAAATACTTGGAAAGCTGAAGCAGGAGAATCGCTTGAGCCCAAGAGGCAGAGGCTGCCGTGAGCTGAGATCATGCCACTGCATTCCAGCCTGGGCAATACAGTGAGACCCCATGTCAAAAAAAAAAAGAAAAAGAAAAAGAAAAAAGATAAAAGCAGCTTTACCCTGTAATCTTAGTTCTAGTACTATCTGGTTCTGTAACCCAAGAGCAGATACTTCACTCTTACCTTTAACGTGAAGATTTATCTTTCAATCCTTTAGAGCTTGAAAATGCAATCAACCCATGAAAATGTTTTTAAAGACCATGATTCTGTTCATCAAGGAGACATTTAAAGGTATGTCATTAACAGAAATTTAAAAGGGTATTGTGGGTAACTGAATTATCATAGATACAATACAGCAAGTATATATGGTATATTCATTACTGAGATGATTTGAACTTTCCATATTCAATATGGAACCTTGAGCAAGCTACTTAAATTCAGGTTTTGTCTATTCCATCTACAAAATGGGAACAGTATCACCTTCCTTCAGTGAGCTGTCGTAAAGGTGTGTGATATGATGACTAGAAAACAAACAGAACACAGCACGTGATTGATGTTTAATAAATGAGTTCCCTTCCCCCTTTCTTAAACTGCAGCAAAGTGGTACCCAAACCTAAGAGCTATTATCCCTAAATTTCAAAATCTAAAAAAAAAACCTTAGAACCTCAGATGATATAATTAACATAAAAGCCCAGGTTTTTGTATAAATGAAAAGGGATAAAAATTCATACAAAATCCATTAGTAACATTCATAAGCACCCGAAATAAATTATTTAGATGTTTGCAAGTCAGCTGCAAGGTGTTCTTCCTCCTCAAATATCCTCTAAGGATGAGCTTATAGACAGATTAACTTAACAACGAAACCTAACATTCCACCAGTAAGAATCTTGTTTGTGTGTGAAGCTGCTTTTTACTAAGTTGGAGGTAAGAGCTCAAAGTAGAGTTTTACTTAAGAAAATTGGGGCAAACATTGATTTTAGTTCTACAGCTATAAAATGATGCCATTCAAAAAGTGAACAGTGGGCCGGGCACAGTGGCTCACGCCTGTAATCCCAGCACACTTTGGGAGGCCAAGGCAGGCGTATCACCTGTGGTCAGGAGTTCAAGACCAGCCTGGCCAAATGACGAAACCCCGTCTCTACTAAAAATGCAAAAATTAGGCAGGTGCGGTGACGGGCGCCTGTAATCCAAGCTACTCAGGAGGCTGAGACAGGGAGAACTGCTTGAACCCAAGAGGCAGAAGTTGCAGTGAGCCGAGATCGCACCACTGCACTCCAGCCTGGGTGACACAGAGACTCCGTCTCAGGGGGCAAAAAAAAAAAAAAAAAAAAAAGTACTATGGAAGTACTTAAGTACATCTGAAAATGTTTTTAAATTTAAACATCTAATTTAGGAACTAAAATACAGGGTCTAGTCTTGGCAAGAGATGGTATGTGTCACTGAGTTTTAAAAAATTATTTCAGTATTCAAATGCACAAACCAAGTCAATTTTCCTTCATATCAAGGGTATGGATATCATTGTACAAGATGAATGCTATATATGAGGCTCGCCTATTACTATATTGATCTACTGTACCTCGAAAATAACACATCATTAAGTAAAGGTGGCAATGTTACATTACCACCATTTACTTCTCCCCAGCACAGCCATGATACAGTTCTAGGCTGATGTGCCACAAATGCACTTTTAAGGCAGTAGTTCTTCCATATTTTTTAAGGTCTAAATTTGCCCTTTCCTCTTATCAAAATCACATTTTCTGAAGGTACTTGAAGTTAAAAACCTTATTACTATCAAGTGAAGCTTCTTTTCTTCTGATTTCTACTTTACTCCTTCCCTGAGGCTTCTACTTCTGAGGTCCCATTTCCTTTTCCTCTCCTGGGACAATGCTTTAGAGGGCAGATTAGCCCTGAAAGTCACCAGCTATGTAAGACCATGAAGTAAATGAGGAAGCTATACAACCAAAGCGAGATCCATGCTTTATGAACACATTATTCTCACACATCCGGGGATAGGTTTGATACACAAGATCCTTAAAGTCATTTTACATATTCTGAAACCAAGTTGTTCAAAAGATGAATTCTGAAAACATAGTTGGTGTAGCAAATGAATATATCAAAACAAAGAAAAACTTCATCCAAATATTTACATTTTAAAAAGACATTTAAAAAATAGGCTACTTATTAAGTGTGCTTGAACAAACCATGTGTGGAATTGAATTCCATTCATTACGGAGTTAGTTTCTGCTAAATACTTACTGATGCTAGAGCAGACCCCTGGCATCTGAGGATTTAAGAGTTCAACTGTTCTCAATCTATGCTAAAAAAAAAAAAATGACAAATAATAAATTCTACATTTCCGAGGCACTAATTTGAACTTCAGAAGTGGGAGGGCTGATATGTAAGGCAAGTTATTTAGGAATGAGGAGGGCTGACAGCTGTAACTCAGTGTGGTTTTGCAGCTGCCTACGTTAGTACCAGGTATTCCATAAAACTCTGTAGAGGCCATTTACATTTCGTAAATTCTGTAATTACACCTTACTGTATCATGCCCTAGTAGTTTCACAAACTTAGATATTCACAAAAATGTTTTGGAATATATTCCTTGGGAATGTGAAGGGTCTCCTATATTACATTAAACAAAAAACCATGCAGTTACTTAGAGCTCATAGAGCTTTCTCAAAATCAACTACTGATCATAACAGCCCAATTAAAAACTCAAACACTTTATATTACAGATATAGAGTTTATAATCCAGCAATGCCAATATAGGTAATTTGATAGCCCCTATTTGCAAAGTGATTAACAATTATACAATAACTTCTATCTGCTTTGGCTCAGATGTTTAAATACTTAAACAGTTTGGAAAGACTTTTTTCTGTGTGTATTTCGTTTTGTTTTTTTGTCTGTGTGGGCATGAGCATAGGGGAGGTTATACTGAAAAGGAGAATGAAGAGGTCAGGAATTAAAGAGCCACTAAAATTTGACTTAACATTTTCTTATAAAATACATGTAGGAGAATATGGCTTAAAGACAAGAGGGGGAGAGCCTCTTAATTGTTCATACTATTTTACTTCACCCTCCATCCAGTCTGACAATAATGCCAAACTTAATTTACAATCTAGGGCAAGAGTAACTCTATAAGAGGATTTTATGAAGTACAATTTAATTTTGGTTCCAGTCTCAAGCACTTAAGAACAATTTTTGGAATCTTTCAGGTTAACTAAAAAGGTTATATCAACAAGCAAAACTCCCAAAAGATTAGGTAAGAAAAAATTAGTTAACTGCTTTAAAAATATCCAACTCACTTTCTTCATTGATTAGGAGTAACTGGGAAATATCTCTGTCCTGATAACTTGGTTTTCTGCTTAGTGTGTGGACCAAGGCAACTTCTCTTTAAAAAGGATGCTTCTATTAAGGAGAGAAAAATTCTCTCTCAAAACAAAACAAAAAAACCTACACACAACTGAGTGAGTAGGTCTAAAATCACTCCAGAGCTACCTCTGGGTCAGAACTAGAGCAACAATGGACAACACAACACAATTTTCACAAATGTACTAGTTTCTTTTTGTTAAAAAAGGGGGTAGGATTAGGTTTCATATATTAAAGTCAGCAGAAATTTCATGTTTCACAATTTGTTGCCAGAGAGATCCCCAAATTCCTTGAAGCCACTGGGAAGTTTTCTGAAGATGCGCATTAAACAGCAGCAAAATACTGAAACAATTCTATTGCTAAAAAGCAGCTACTTCTGCTTCTGCCTTTAGAATACTAATTGTAATACAGTAACAACAACAAAATGCTGATTTGTGCCATCAATTGAAATTTGAGCTATTCCAAAAATTGTTTTCTTTAAAACTGTTCAAGGCAGGACATCAATAATCATAGTGGGTAAATATTAACTGAGTTTTGGGGGAAAAAATCAGAAAATGTCAAAAAGGAAGAGACAACAGCATTATATTTAGTATTCTAAAGACTTGTTTCAGGTAGTTCAACAATGATTCTGGTAAGACCAACTGCTCACATACATACACACGCACACACATAGATTTTAATGGTTTAAAAAAAAACCAAATTTGTTACTTTAGAAAAATGAATGCAGTGCATTTTCAGCAATATTATCGCCACAGACTCTGATTGCTCAGTCCACACACAAGTAGGAGTTGCCTTCTATGGTGACATGGCTTCTCTGCACTAATTCCCATCAGGCCGAAAAATATTAGGGCAGGTTAAGTAAAGACCGAATTGTTGCACAAAGGAACATTTACTCATCAGATCCCACTGATCTCTTCTGTGCCCGTTTCCTGGGCAACCTTCTTGGTGAAGCTTTATCTGGAAGAAAAGAGAAAGTTTTAAGCTTGCCTATTATAAGTATATTGAATTCAAAAGACATGTTAAAAAGTATTTACCTTCAACTTTACCACTAAGTTACACACACACATGGGTGAACACCATCTAATAATGAATGCCTCCTATCTAGCTCTAGGTTTTAAAAACAATCTTTAACATAATCCTTCAAGAGGTAACCCCAATTAAAATGAAAGTGTTTTGCAATTAGGGTGGGTAAGAGATTTAAACTTGGTTATTGTACTGCTGAAGACACCATGCAAAATCTTCAATTCTATAACTTAACCAAGTTTATACATGCATAAGTAAACGCTTAAAAACTGCTGATTTTGTATTTACAAATGCAGTCATGCAGTTTGCATAATTTTTCAATTTCATAAATTTACCTGGAATAAGCAGCAGAATAAAGGAAATCAGTATTTCAATGCTAAAACAATTCTATGCACACAAGCTGTATCTCCCATATGTTTGTTAGATTCTCAGTAGGGTCTATTTAACAGAAAATACATTTGTGGTGGGTTTTTCTACTTCCATTTGGTAAGAGGTGTCATTTATAAGTTTCCTCAACCAGTGAAAGGCTGGATGTATGTACCTTCCCTCTATTATTGTCTTGTCTTACTTTCTGGGGGGTACTTTACATATTAGGAAGATTTTAGAATAAGTTAGAAATTACTTGTATAATTGTTTTTGTATTGATTTTGATTGATTTTGCATTCATTGATTTCGTATTGTTTTTTTTTGGTATGTTTGTATACTGTAGAATAAGTTAGAAATAAAAATCATTTTTTCCAGTTAAAAAAAGTGAAGGGCTAGAAAGTGATTTTCACCAAAGCATGGGGCTTATCTGTAAGCATTTCATAAAATGGAAAAAAAAAATCTGTTCAAAAGATCTCTCACCCCCCAAATTATGAGATCACCATGCCTAGAAAATGAGTAAATGTTTATCAAGAATATTTATTTTTTTTGAGACAGAGTCTCACTCTGTCGCCCAGGCTGGAGTGCAGTGCCACGATCTCCGCTCTCCACCTCCTGGGTTTAAGCGATTTTCGTGCCTCAGCCTCCCAAGTAGCTGGGATTACAGGCACACACTATCACACCTGGCCCAGCCAAGAATATTTAAAGACTACACATTTTTCAAAGAAATCTCCTTAAGATTAAGGGCTAAGGCCAGGCACAGTGGCTCATGCCTGTAATCCCAGCACTTTGGGAGGCTGAGGCAGGCAGATCATTTGAGGTCAGGAGTTCAAGACCAGCCCAGCCTGGCCAACATGATGAAATCCCATCTCTACTAAACTATAAAAATTAGCCAGGTGTGGCAGTACACGCCTGTGATCTCAGCTACTTGGAAGGCTGAGGCAGGAGAATCACTTGAACCGAGGGGCCGGAGGTTGCAGTGAGCCGAGATCACACCACTGCACTGCAGCCTGGGCAACAGAGCAAGACTCCGTGTCTCAGAAAAATAAAAAAAGTTAAGGGCTAAAATATTAAGACAGAGCCTACATATCACAGGAAAACTGCCCTCACTTTTCAAGTGTGAAAAAAACCCAGAAAACTGCTCTCACTACTTCATTAAGTAGGTTACTAATAGATGGTTTCAGGGGCTCTTCAACTTACCTAAAACTGAGCTGTGAGTACAGACAAATGTTTCTGATGAAGAAAGTCTACAACTTTTATCAGATTTTCAAAAAGGTTAGACTAGGAACTACTGCCCTTACAGACAACCAATCTCTAAATAAAACTTTTTCAAATAAGCAGTATGCTGAACATAGTCTTTTGAGGATTCAAAAAGTACTCTAGGATTTAACAGCCATCTGTGTGAGCATCACTGTTATATGCAGATGTGAGCTGGGCATGGTGGCTCACACCTATAATCCCAGCACTTTGGGCGGCTGAGGTAGACAGATCACTTGAGCCCGTAAGTTCAAGACCAGCCTGGGCAACATGGTGAAACCCCCTCCCTACAACAAATATAAAAATTCAGCTGGGCATGGTGGTGTGCGTCTGTAGTCCCAGTTATTTGGGAGGCTGAGGTGGGCGGATTGAGCCCAGGAGGTCGAGGATGCAGTGAGCCATGATCACGTAACTGCACTCCAGCCTGGGTGACAGAGTGAGATCCTGTCTCAAAAGAAAAAAAAACAGATGTGTAGCTCCCATGACTTGAGCTACCACTGATGCTATATGTCCCAATGTTTCCAAATCTTGATTCACTTGTGCTCTGAAACAGAACTTTCAAATGTTTCCTGGACATCCTTATCTGGGAGTCCCAAAGGTTTTTCACACTCAGCATAGCTAATCCAAACACATCTCTCCTCATCCTTCCATGCTTCTCTTTCCTAGATTATGGGACATTAATGGGATCAGCTTTCACCCAGTTGCCTAAGTTCAGAATGCTCTTTCATTCCTCCCTCACTAACACATCCAGTCATAAAAAACCCCATCTACTCCACCTGTGAAACATCCTTCTACTCCCTTTTACTCCTATCACCACTGCCTCTGCTTAGGCCCCAGTGACTTCTGTGCTTTACTGAAATCGCGGAACTGGTAACCCTGCTTCCAGCAGCTCCTTTGCAGTCCTCCACAAAGTGATCCTAATTTTTCCTTTCTTTTCTTTTTTTTCTCTTAGAGATGGGAGACTTGCTATGTGGCCGAGGCTGGATTCGAACTTCTGGGCTCAAGCGATCCTCCTGCCTTAACATTTCCAGTAGCTGAGACTACATGTGCACACCACCATGCCCAGCTTACCATAATTTTTAAAACACAATTGTAATTCCTCTCCTTTAAAGTGGCTCTTTGACCTAGGAGTCAAAAGTTGTTAGCATAGCTCATAAAACCTTAAAGACTCCTTCTCACCCAACCTTTCAAGACTCGGGTCTAGTGCTGACCTCCTCCTGTGCTCTTGTTACTTTGAACCCACCTTTCATAAAGCAACTGCTATACTGCAATATGACAGCTAGCTCACAGAAAGAGACAGCTAGCTCACAGAAAGCAGTAGAGAAAACAATTTAAAAATGGAAAAGGACCTGAACAGCCAATTCACAGGAAAAGAAACCCTAGCCAATACAGTCATCTCTATTATCTGCAGGAAATTAGTTCCAGGACTACTCCCCCACGGCAACCCCACCCAAATCCAGGCATACTGAAGTTCCGCTGTCAGCACTGAGGAACCGGTGGATACAAAAAGCCTTCCCTGTACTTAGGTTTGGTATCCTGCAAAAACTGTGATTTCCTTTTTTTTTTTTTAATAGATTTTATTTTACTATTATTTCACTAGTTTTGAGGGACAGATGGTGTTTGGCTACATGGGTAAGTTCTTTAGTGGTGACTTCTGAGACTCTGGCGCATCCATCACCCAAGCTGTGTATACGATAACCCATGTGTAGTCTTTTATCCCTCACCCCCCTCCTACCCTTCCCCGAGTCCCAAAAGTCCATTATATCATTCTTATGCCTCTGCGTCCTCAGAGCTTAGCTCCTCAATGATTTCCTTTCCTCCCCACCCCCACCTTTTCTTTTGAGACAGAGTCTCACTGTCACCCAGGCTGGAGTGCAGTGGCACCATCATGGAGCAATCACGGACCTACCAGGCTCAAGCAATCCTCCCACCTCAGCCTAGGCGCACGTCAACACATGTATTTTTTTTTCATTCTTTGTAGAGATGGGGTCTCACTATGTTGCCAAGGCTAGTCTCAAACTCCTGGGCTCAGGCGATCCTCCTGCCTCAGCCTCCCAAAGTGCTGGGATTACAGGTGTGAACCACCACGCCTGGCCAAATATTGTATTTTTTATCTGCTTTTGGTTGCAGATGTGGAACCCACCAATATACCGAGGGTCAATTATATTGAAAAAATCTGTATATAAAGTGAAACCCAAGCAGTTCAAACCTGTGTCTTTCAAGGGTCAACTATGAATATGTATAAAGGAGCTGAACCTCATTCTTAAAGAAATGCAAATGAAACAGTAAGACACTCATTTTATATCATACCGACAGATTAAATAGGCAATATTGTGCATGGTTGAGAACATAAATTGGCACTACCTTTTTTTCCCCTTTTAGGAGGGAAATGGGGTCCCTTCCATAAAAATTCAGTGTATTTAATCTTAGACCTAGTTACTCTACCTTTAAGAAGTTATCCTATAAATTTATATATAAGAATATTCATTACAGTATCATCTGTAGGAGTGAAAAAATAAAAGTAACCAATATCCTTCCAATACAGAACAGGTTTAATCTATCATGACATACATATATATATAAAATAATATTGTCTAGTTGTAAAAAAACAGTTTAGTAAATATTTATGTAGTTACTACAAAGAGACATCCAAGGTATGAAAACTGAAGTTGTAGACAGCATGATGCAATCTGAACTAAATACTCACATAAAAACAATAGGCGTATATGCTTATAGATATATAGAAATTAATGGAAAATATAAACATAATACCATTTATGAAAAATAGGGCCGGGCGTGGTGGCTCACGCCTGTAATCCCAGGACTTTGGGAGGCCGAGGCTAGCGGATCACTTGAGGTCAGGAGGTCGAAGCCAGCCAGGCCAACATGGTGAAACCCTGTCTCTACTAAAAATACAAAAAAAATTAGCCGGGCGTGGTGGCACGTGCCTGTAATCCCAGCTACTTGGGAAGCTGAGGCAGGAGAATCACTCGAACCCAGGAGGCGGAGGTAGCAGTGAGCCAAGACCATGCCACTGCACTCCAGCCTGGGCGACAGAGCAAGATTCCATCTCAAATAAATAAATAAATAAATAAATAAATAGGATTAATGAAGTCAGGAATTGACTTATTTTTTTCACTTCTGTACTATTTAATTTTTTATAATGAGGCTGCATTGGTTTTATAATAAACATTTTTAAAATGTCCTACAATTGAAGAAACATTTCTATATTCTTTTATAAAGGTTAGTATTTTAACTGAATATGTAATAAAACTGAAATGTATCTGTAAAATAAATTGTCGGGTAATATTTTAGGTTTATTCTTTCAAGTTATACTGGGTAGTTTTTCTAATAAAATGTAGTAAGAAAAATTGTTCCATTACTCATTAAACTTGACGTAAAATATTTACGTGCTATTTGAGAGCCCCCAATTCTCTAGCAAAAACCATTAAAAAAATTAAATGCCTCACCTCTTCTACTCTGCACTGAAGCAACAGAAAGAAAAGAGACAGGAAATGGATTAGGAACACAGAAAATTCACACATTCATAAATAAGCTGCAGATCTGGAAGAATTTCCAAATTAAAGCATAAGAAGACTACACACTGAATAAACCTTTAAGGTCTTAATTAATCACTATACTAGATTCTACACAAGTAATGGAAAAGATGAATGTTAAATAGTACTGAAAAAGTTTTTTTTTTAAACTAAATCTAAGGTATTTAATTTCCACTTAAGAGAAAAACTTCCCAGCCAAGTCTGTAAGACTACTTACTGATTTGATTCAATGTTTCCTGAGGAATCCAACTCATGTCAACATCATTCTGACTTGATGTACCCATTTCTACTTTCTGTATGGGTCTCTTACGCTAAAAGAACATAAAGACATATTTTAAAGGAGTTCCGTTACACCATTTACTTAATATTTTTTAAAAAAGAGTTGAGGTCTTGCTATGTTGCCCAGGCTGCCTGGAACTCCTGGGCTCAAGCAATCCTCCTGCCTGAGCCTCCCAAGTAGCTGGGACTATAGGCACATACTATCATGACCAGCTGTTTACTCTAATTTTTAAAACACCTATCAAATTACTTAATTTAAATATCTTGGTAAACAAGTTATATTCTCTTCTAGTCTTCCTAGAACATACTTCTACTCAAATACTTTATTAAAGGGAAGGAGAAAATCATGTCTAGTACTGATGATAAAGAATAAATCTTCATCACATTTATTTTCAGGCTTTAAAGACCTTTCCCCTTGCTATAAAGGTTCATGTTATGTACCACTGGTGGACCACATAAGAGTATCTATTTATACAATGACTTTATTTCCCTTTAGGAATCAAATTGTAATCAAAGAATAAATTTATTTCTATATTCAACAAAATTCAGGATAACTGCTGATATGTTACATGCAGGCAGTTTCTGCATCGTAAGCTAAATACAATTAAACAGTTGGCACAGACAAAACAAAACGAAACCATAAAATCTCATTAAGCTAACCACCTCAATTTAAGAACTTCAAACTTTCTCCCTAGAGTATTTACAGCAAAACTGCTAGAAAGTAAAAATGACTCATTTAGCCTTGCTTTAAAAAAAAACCCAAGAAACCAACAAACCTCAGTTTATCTACATAAGAAACAGTATTAATTATATAATCCGTAAGTTAGAACCTAAGTACATGGAGAGATAACTTAAAAATAGTTTCATTTAAATAGAAGAAAAATGGAGATGCAGTTATACCTAATATACAAATTTACAGCAAAAATTCCAACCATTATGACAATGAGGCAAAGCGAGTTTTAGAAATTAACATTTAAACACAAAGTATTTCTCTTTTAAAGAGAAAGAGCTTATTAATAACATTCATTGTTAATTTTAATATAGATTTGACTGCCTGACTAAAGGCTTAATAAATAATCGCCAAAATGATTAGCAACTGTTTAGGGTCTAATGAATTATATTAACATATTTGATAAAATTGTTTATATTTTCCCACTGAGAGAAATAGTATAGGTTTTGTTTTTGTAGGCTGGAGGGAAGGAAAGGAGGAGGGTGAGTGAGGGAAGGAAAGGAGGAGGGTGAGTGAGGGAAGGAAAGGAGGAGGGTGAGTGAGGGAATGGGGAAGAGGAGGGAAATAAGGATGTGGTAGGGAATGAATCCAGAGTGAGAACCATGATCGTGGCAGACCCTAGGTGTTACCATTTTATTACTCTAACCACAAAAACAGAATTTTGACTGAGAGAACAAAATGTATTAGTTCTTTTTCCAATGAAAGGACTTGTTTATTAATTAAGGATTGTTTCTATAATTAAGAGTATTAACGCAGGCTGAGTGTGGTGGCTCATGCCTACAATTCCAACACTTTGGGAAACCAACATGAGAGGACAGCTTGAGCCCAGGAGTTCGAGACCAGCCTGGGCAACATGGCGAAACCCTGTCTCTACAAAACATACAAAAATTAGCTGGGTGTGGTGGCGTGCACCTGTAGTTCGACTACTCAGGAAGCTGAGGTGGGAGGATGACTTGAGCCCCGAAGGCGGAGGTTGCAGTAAGCAAGATTGTGCCACTGCACTCCATCCTGGATGAAAGAGCCAGACTGTCTCAAAAAAAAAAAAAAAAAAAAGAATATTAAAGAAAATATAAAAGCTAGGTTACTTGCAGATAAAATAGCATACCCATTAAAAAGTAAAGTAAACAGAACAATAAAATCTGAGTTTAGGGAATAAAAATTCTAGCATTTAGAGCTACAATACCAATCCAAAGGTAAATATCACTCTGGAGGGCACAAAGGACAATAAATAATTGTATGTGTGTATGAAAGTCTAAATGAGGCCAGGTGCAGTGGCTCACACCTGTAATCCCAACACTTTGGGAGGCCAAGGTGGGCAGATTGCTCGAGTTCAGGAGTTTGAGACCAGCCTGGGCATATGGCAAAACCCTGCCTCTACAAAAAATTTTAAAATTAGCGGGGTGTGGTGGCATACACCTATGGTCCCAGCTAACCGGGAGGCTGAGTTGAGAGGATCACTTGAGCCCAGGAGGTTGAGGCCACAATGAGCTAAGATCACACCACTGCACACTCCAGCCTTGGGTGACAAAGTAAGACTCTGTCTCCAGAAAAAAAAAGAAAGTAAGTTTAAATGAATCAATTTACATATCTAAGGCTTCAGGTTTTATTTTAAAAAGGTACAACAAAGTTCTACGTATACAAACCCACAGTGACAGTATGAGGCCGAAGAACTAGACTGCTTAACTTAGTACTTAACAACTTTTGAAACACGGCTGTAAGAGGTGTTCATCCATAATTACCTTTCTAGATTCTAGGAGTTGATGAAGGCCAACAATAACCAGAAGCCCAAGACCAGCAAGGAACATATACATAAAGATTCTGGTACAAAAGGAGAAAATATGAACTGTCTTTAATTCAGAGGAAATACCACGTCTAATTACAACTATAATTATAACACATAATAGAAGCTTTCCAAATAACTTGTGGCGAAAAGGAATAAAATGCTTTGTATTCAACTTAAATCCAGGTAGTTAAGTTTTATAAATTACCTTTAAGAGCAATTAGTCAATTAAAAAAAACTCTATGATTGAAAATAGAATTACAATTTATGCTCTATTCAAAAGCTTGGTTTATAAAATAATTGCATTAGCTTTCATCTCCCTGGAATATTACATTATTTTGCACAATCCAATTTAAAAATTACCTTAAGTGAATTATATATAAGTTTAGAGTAAAAAAAGATTCATCATTCAGAAAGAACACTTACATTTTTCAAGATAAAATCTTCTAACTTATGTTTTCAATAGTAATTTCAGAGGCACGAGACTTAGTTTAGGCTGGTGAACAGTTTATAAGCATGAGGTAGAAAATTTAGATGAGAGGAAGGACAGAAAGCCAATACTAACTTTTAAAGAGATTCTTCCATCAGTTTCAACTATCTTTCCTAATTTGACTTTTATAGTTATAAGAATCATCTGAAGTATGAATGAATATCGTAAGGATTTCACCAAATCTATACAGTTCATTCCATCGTCAACATCTAAAACAATGCTGAAACAGAGCAAGCTTTCCAGTCTTACTTTACGAGCAAAATCAAGATCTACATACTACAACTTTCACTTACGTTTCTCCATCTAACCCATCCTCTCTTTCAATAACTGTAACTGTTTGATTGAAGACTGCATCTTGGAATACATTGCCCTGTTTAAGAAAATAAAATAATCAGAAAAATCTAAATGCAATAAAGGAAGTAAAACATGTAACATTACTTAAAACAGTTACTCTAACAGATTGAATATAGCCTTCCCATCACTTAGAAGACTCAACAAATTCATATGTAACTGCAATATTCTGTGGCAGGGACTCAACATTGTTATTTTCTCACATGAAATAAAGTCTCTGGGCCAGGTGAGATGGCGTATGCCTGTGGTCCCAGGTACTCGGGGGCTGAGGCAGGAGGACTGCTTGAACCCAGGACTTGTGAGTCCAGCCTAGCAAACATAGCGAGATCCACACCCCTTTAAAAAAAGTCACCGACTTTGCCAAAGTTGTCCCCTGAATTTTCTTCTGGGGTAGGGGTGGTGGTGTGAGGACCCAGAGAGTAAAATAAAAATGAGATAAAACGTGCAGAAAGAAACAAAGCTCACAGCATTCTTACGCCAACAAGCTTTACCTTCTGTTGTTTGCAATCCTTCAAAACAAGGAAGGAAGAGTACAGCGGCAGCTGCAGAAGCAGGTCATTTTAAGAACTAGATCGGAACAAAAGTTAAATTCATGTTCTAAAATGACAGTGGTGCCGGGTGCGGTGGCTCACACCTGTAATCTCAGCACTTTGGCAGGCCAACCGAGGCAGATCACCTGAGATCAGGAGTTCAAGACCAGCCTGGCCAACATGGAGAAACCCCCTCTCTACTAAAAATACAAAATTAGCCGGGTATGGTTGCGCATGCCTGTAATCACAGCTACTCAGGTGGCTGAGGCAGGAGAATCACTTGTGCCCAGAAGGCAGAGGTTGTGATGAGCCGAGATCACTCCAGCCTGAGCAACAAGAGCGAAACTCCCACCTCAAAAAAAAAAAAAAAGACAGTGGGCTGGAAACCAATTTCTTCATAATAAATGGGATGGTCACTTTAGGTATGAAAATATTTTTATGTTGTGGTCTTGAAATAATTTTATCAGTTCACAATTTCAGTTTTCAAATGCATTAGACTCACTGGGGCAATACACAGCTATTCTTCACAAAGGTAGTACATTGTCAAAACTGTCACTTATTGCTAAACTGTAATTATGTAAGTTTTACTTCAAGATCCTTCAATTTGCATTCCTCTATTGATAATTTCAGGAATAATACACAGATTAAAAAAAAAGTGGTACAGGTGAATTTAAAAGAAGGAACTAAAACTTCATATATACCTGTTGGATTAAATTTTATTCTACTCAAAAACAAGCTAAAATCAGTAATTCTTTAAGCTACTTAACTATAGAGTTAAGTAATAACTGTAAGTTATTATTTTGAGGACAGGATGAAAATACTTCCTTTTCTCTACTAAGTAATCAGAAAAAAGAAAACTTGATTGCAGCACTAGAAATTTAACTCAGACACAAGGTAAACATGTTAACACCAGGGTAATGAAAAGGTTGAATTAGCTTCCAAGAGAAAATAAAATTTCCTCGTCTGAAAACTTTTTGACAGAGGAATGGTTTAGATGTGCTCTCATTTAGAGGACCTATTTCTACTAGGGTTCTCTCATTCAGTCATTGATGACTGATATATAGTATACATTATTAAAAATCATAAGGCATCAGAGCTTATATTAGGACATTTGGTTCTCCTAAATCAAAAAGTAAATGATAAACCTTGCTGCTGAAACTACATTGAAAATATATGGTTCTATTTTATCTATGAGTACATAAAATGATGGGAAAACAATTATAGACAGTCTTTAAATTTACAAACAGAAGTAGTAAAATGGGCAAAATGCAAGCAACAAAAGGAGGTACAAAACAAATTATTTGACAGATCTTTTATTCTTTTTTTGAGATGGAGTCTCACTCTGTGGCCCAGGCTGGAGTACAATGGTGCGATCTCAGCTCACTGCAACCTCCGCCTCCCAGGTTCAAGTGATTCTCCTGCCTCAGCCTCCCGAGTAGCTGGGATTACAGGCGACTGCCACCATGCCCAGCTAATTTTTGTATTTTTAGTAGAGACAGGGTTTCACCAGGTTGGCCAGGCTGGTCTCGAACTCCCGACCTCAGGTGATCCACCCACCTCAGCTTCCCAAAGTGCTGAGATTACAGGTGTGAGCCACTGTACCCAGCAACAGATCTTAACATCTGAATAAGCTGTAGACTCCATTGTGTGTCTTACTGCTCCTTTTCCCATTAAGATCCGGCTCATAGCTTTACTTACATCTCCATTTTCACTTCCACTCCCACACAATAGCACCTTATTCCCCTTATCTCTAGTATGCATCACTTATCAGCATGTTCTAGTGCCTGTTTTCATATGCCTCCCCCACTGGATTAGACTTGAAGAAGAAACGTGCAATTTATCTTTGCTTCCCTGGTGGCTATCACAGGTTCAACCACAAAACAGGCAACTGAATGAACAGATATATTCTATTAAACAACGTCACCGCCCCCATCCATCTCTAACTTAAACAAAAAGAAGGTTTAGAGGATCTTACGTTCAAATCTTTGTAGTTCAGATTGATGACCAAACCAAATGGTCGTCCGCCCATGGGCTCTGCAGGAATGAAAGAGTACTCAAAAGTTGCCTGTCTCTGGGGTGGCACTACAGTGTTCAGAGGAAGAGCTGTGAAATTCTGGATATAAAACTGGTAGTCCTGAGGATAACGGAATGAGGCATCTAAGGATTCAACAATAAAATCTTCTGTACCCTTGTTGGTAAAGCCTACCAGGAACTTCACAATGTTATTTGCTGGAAAATCTGAGAAACAAAATAGAGACAAAAAAATTAGAACACATGGAAAGAGCACAAAATATTTAAAAAGGCATTACTAATGGATTCTGGCACCCTTTCCTGTGGACTTTGGTGTCAGAATCCCTTCCAATAGAGCACTCCAGTCACCTACTAACGAGAAATTGGTTCAAGTTGCTGTATAGGCTGAAACCCTTTTGTCTGTACGCTAGCACTCCCACATAAGCATTCAATAAGCGTCTCAATTTCAGACCAGATCACATCCAAATCATGTGGTAAAAAAGAGTTGCGTATTTTTGGCAGTGAAATAATCAAGCAGCAGGGTTACGTGTGTTGGTGAAGTCACCTTCACCTCCAGCTTAGTGTTATCTGTGCAGGTAAATAGAAGAATGAAGAAAAGATAAAGTCCAAGAGTTTCATCTGAAAACTAGCATCTGTTAGAACGTAAAAATTAATCAGGCAATCCCAATCCACGTTAAGCAATTAATCAAAATGCAAATTTGAAGGTTAAGACCCAAGGATGTAGCTACAAAAATGGAAGAAAAAAAGCATAATAAAATTATACTTCCTACAGGCATAAAGTTCAAAAGCACATGAGAATAAAACAGAAAATGTAAGAAGACCAAGAAAATTCATAACTTTCAATATTAAGTCTTCAATAATTATACAGTAGTCTACAAAGCTGAGTTTCACTGAGTACAGCACAGGCTATGGGGCCAACAGATCTAGGTCTGGATCCTGTGTTCTCCAATCTATTTATGAACTGGGAGCCCTGACCAGTTTCTTCTCCAAACTTCAGTTCGACAATGACTACGCTCAGTGGGTTTGTCAGAACTAAATAATACATGCCAAGTATTGAGAATATAGCCCTCAATAAATTATCAGCCATAATTATTTTCTTTTAATAAAACCTAGGCACTGGCCGGGTGTGGTGGCTCACACCTGTAATCCCAGTACTTCAGGAGGCAGAGGCGGGCGGATCATGAGGTGGAGATTGAGACCATCCTGGCCAACATGGTGAAACCCCATCCCTACTAAAAATACAAAAATTAGCTGGGCGTGATGGAGCGTGCCTGTAGTCTTGGCTACTCAGGAGGCTGAGTCAGGAGAATCACTTGAACCTGGGAGGCAGAGGTTGCAGTGAGCCGAGATCACACCACTGCACTGCAGCCTGGCAACAGAGCAAGACTCCATCTCAAAAAACAAACAAACAAAAAATCCTAGGCTCTAACCTAGACCATATTGG
This sequence comes from Homo sapiens, assembly GCF_000001405.40. NCBI lineage: Eukaryota > Metazoa > Chordata > Mammalia > Primates > Hominidae > Homo > Homo sapiens. The sequence continues at coordinate 7,302,810 of NC_000006.12, forward strand.
AAAAATTAAGTATCTCATTAATGGTTAACACTCAAAATGTGACAAAGGGCCAGACGCGGTGGCTCATGCCTGTAATTCCAGCACTTTGGAAGACCGAGACGGACAGATCACGAGGTCAGGAGTTCGAGACCAGCCCGACCAACATGGTGAAACCCTGTCTATTAAAAATACAAAAAATTAGCCAGGCGTGGTGGCACGTGCCTGTAATCCCAGCCACTAGGGAGGCTGAGGCAGGAGAATCGCTTGAAACCGGGAGGCCTCGGAGGTTGCAGTGAGCCGAGATCATACCACTGCACTCCAGCCTGGGTGACAGAGCGAGACTACATCTTAAAAAAAAAAAAAAAAAAAAAAAAAAGACAAAGTTACTTTGCTGTGGCAGTTTAAAGAAGTTTTAAAACATCATCTTTCTCAGGAGGCTGAGGCAGGAAAATCGATTAAACCTGGGAGGTGAAGGTTGCAGTGAGTCGAGAGGGGGCCACTGCTCTCCAGCCTGGGTGACAGAGCCAGACCCTGTCTCAAAAACAAAATCTTTGAAAAGGACAGTCAATTTCTAGTTAAACTAGGTAGTATTTATTTTATTTTTTCCCCTTGGTTTATTTTTTATTGTGTCTATATCACCTACGTATTCCCTTTAAATGCCAACAATATTACTTTACAGATATGGGTATTCAGATATATATGAACAAGCTCATCGTTTTAAAATGCCTACATCTGAATTAAAACTAATACTTCTGTATTACCTTCTCCTTTTACAAACAGTATAGTTGTATCTGCACTCGGTGAAGCTTCAGGTTCACCAGACACATCTTCTTCCTCTTTATCTTCTACCTAAGAAAAAGAACAATTAAGAGGAGATTACTATGGGAGAAAAAAAAATCATTATTTAAAAATAAAGATTTGGCCGGGCACGGTGGCTCACACTTATAATCTCAGCACTTGGCCGAGGCAGGCAGATCACCTGAAGTCAGGAGCTCGAGACCAGCCTGGCCAACATGGCGAAACCCCGTTCTCTACTAAAAATACAAAAATTAGCCAGGTGTGGTGGCACATGCCTGTAATCCCAGCTACTCGGAAGGCTAAGGCAGGAGAATCGCTTGAATCCGGGAGGTAGAGGTTGTATGAGCTGAGAATGCCCCAATGCAAGACTCCGACTCAAAAAAAAGAAATAAAGACTTCACTTTATGTTAGGAAGAAATATTGCTTCTCTACAGCTTTGCTGGGATTAGCAATAAGAATTTCATCATACCTCATTAATTAAAACAGAACTTTTGGAGCAGTGCCTCTTGAACAGTAATGTGCCTACCAATTCTTTGGGGATGTTGCAGATCTAATTCAGGTCTAGGGCAAAGCCTATCATTCTCTTTCTAACAAGCACCCAGAAAATGCCAAAGCTGCTGGTATTCAGACCATATTGTGAACTCCAAGGTTCTAGAACAGAGCTTGGTAAACTTTTTCTGTAAATGGCCAAATAGCAGATATGGCCTTGCAGACCATAAAGCCTCTCTTGCAACTATTCAACTCAACTCTGGGGCTACTGTGTGAAAGCAGCCTCAGACAATACGTAAATGAATGGGGATCGCTAGATGTGGCTTGCAACCACATTATGCCCACCTCTGCTCTCAAGTACCTTGTTAACAGCCTACAGAGATTTCCATTCTAATTAACAAAATTTTCCTGTGAGGATCAGTCACATAATTTTGAAGGAAAAAAAAAAGAGTGTGACCAGAGATCTTCCTGGGTTGATAGAAACGTCCTAAAACTGAATTTATGTTGCAGAACTTGGTAAATTTACTAAGTGTATGTTTAAAACAGATGAATTTTATGATACATAAACTGTATCTCAACAAATTTTTTTAAAATGTGAACAAATTTTATTTAAAACTTTAAACACAGTGCAGCATCATTTCTCCAGGCATCAATATGGATTAGAGACAGTCACACCTTTGAAGTATCCAGACTCTTAATAAATTGAGATGCTTCAGGATGCCATTGTTTATTGGCATTTAACTTTTCACTTACATAAAATACTCCTTCCTCCAATAGATAAAACTTGTCAAGAGCAAAGATTATCTCATAATTTTAAAATCCTCCACCATCCAGCTCATGCACTTAAGAGAGAGTGCACTCAAACACACTTGTTCAATGACTGTGAAACTGTGTTGTAAGTTATATTTTAAGTATCCTTAATGATTTCATTCATTTAGTAAGAGTAAGTTTCTATTCTGAGAAAAGAGACCCATAAGTAGGAAAAGAGAACAGAGACAGAGAGGCTGAAACCATAAATGACAGGGATAGACAGGAACAGGGTATATTTCAGCAAGAGAAATCCCTGATATCTGATTAATGGGTTTTGGAATAAAAACAAACGGAAGAAGTAACAAGACAACAGCTTGAATCACTGGAGCCATATCAAAACAATAAAGAGTTTATGGAGTAGGACACATGGCAAAAGATTTGGACATATAAAATGTGAAGTACTTATGGAGCATTCAGATGAAACTATCCTGTGAAGAGCTGGAAAAGAGCTACAACAGGATAACAACGGAAAACAAGGAATTAGGCAATTAGGTTGCTGGTGACCTTAGCAATACTAGTTTTACTAGATATATGGGACCAGACCATGATAGAGAATAAATGTGAAGTGAGCAGAAGAGAAAAGCTGTCCCTGTTTCTCTTTCAAGAAGCCACCGGTCTTGGTAAAGATAAGTAGGTGCAGCAAATGTGGATGAACAGTATAAGCAGATGTGTGGCTTAACAGAATCAAATCACTGAGGAGGATTAATGCCTGACGTTACAAAAGGAAAGAATAATGTAACAAAATTCCGCAGGAAGAGATGAACACAGGTGGAAGGGTTAGCCTTAGAAGAGAACAAGGACAACTCATTATTAAGAAGAAAATGCAGAACGATGGGTGAATAATATATTTGGAAGTAGAAAATACAAAATCTGATAGAGTTCATGCTTGATGGCCTTCTTCACTTTCTGACACTGAAGGCAATGTTGCTGCCAAGACTGAAAACTCATTTAGGGATTTAAACATGGCAAATGTTTGGAACACTGATTGTGGAAAACTAAGTAACTCATTTATCTTACAGCTATTCAGCATGTAAGATGTATAACGCTTAGTATCTGCTACCCGGTAAAACTCCAGAATATTTCAGCTATTGCAAACAATCTCCAGAGGAGAGTATAGAAACTGGTGGTACTGCTTGCCTACAGGGAGATGACTTCATGGCTGGAAGGCACACAAGGGAAACTTTTCATCATATATTCTGTACCTTGTAAGTTCTGAGCCATTTGAATATATCATCTATTTTAAATAACTATTTTTTTTTTGAGACGGAGTCTCGCTCTGTTGCCCAGGCTGGAGTGTAGTGGAGTATAGTGCCCAGGCACGATCTCAGCTCACTGTAAGCTCTGCCTCCCAGGTTCACGCCATTCTCCTGCCTCAGCCTCCCAAGCAGCTGGGACTACAGGTGCCCACCACCACACCCGGCAGATTTTTTTGTATTTTTAGTAGAGACAGGGTTTCACCATGTTAGCCAGGATGGTCTTGATCTCCTGACCTCGTGATCCACCCGCCTCAGCCTCCCAAAGTGCTGGGAGTACAGGCGTGAGCCACTGCACCTGGCTAAATAATTTTTTTTAAGTTAGTTAGTGTTATTACTACTACAGCTCTTGTTTTAATAAAAATTAAAACAAAAACCTCTCTCATTTCTATGGGGAGGACAAAAAAACCTTTCAGGAATGATGGCAAGTTCCATTGCGACCCAGTTTTATAGAGTAAAAGAATAATCAATGGGTTAGAAAAGCCCAAGGTGACTAGGCCAGGTGCAGTGGCTCATGCCTGTAATCCCAGCACTTCGGGAGGCCGAGGCGGGCGGATCACGAGGTCAGGAGATCGAGACCATCCTGGCTAACATGGTGAAACCCCGTCTCTACTAAAAATACAAAAAATTAGCCGGGTGTGGTGGCGGGCGCCTATAATCCCAGCTACTCGGGAGACTGAGGCAGGAGACTGGCGTGAACCCGGGAGGTGGAGCTTGCAGTGAGCGGAGATCCACGCCACTGCACTCCAGCCTGGGCGACAGAGCGAGACTCTGTCTGGGTGGTGGGGGGGTGGGGGAAAGCCCAAGGTGACTTAAAAAAAAAAAAAAGGTTTGTCCTCAAAAATTCTAAACCAATAACCTGTGTCTAAACCAGCTGTTGATATCTTAGATCTTATGAAAAACCCCCTTTTCCTTCACTTGACTCCAGGACACTGGCCCAGTGGCAAAGGATCCTTCCATATCTCCCAATCCCTTGATGCCTTGGCAGCTGAGTATAGGGTGATAAATCTTGGGAACAGCAGCAGTAGGTGAACTTTCTAGCTCATTCAGTTCTGGAGGTGACTTCTGTAGCAGCCTTGCCTTTGAGGGCCCATCTTTCTTAGACAGTCTACACACAAGCCTACCCCTGCTGGTGTGGTCTAGTACAATGGAAGGTAATACTTTTCCTGCCTTTCTATTTCAATCTACCTTAATTATTTTCTGATTTGAGATAAGTAACAAAGCAGAGGGTACTAACACTTCTGTACTAATTGGCCAGGGTAGAAAGTGGATAATCAGAGTTGTTCTTTTTCCTCTAATGGTTCTCAAGACAGGAGAAATTAAGATATGGAAAAGTTCTGGTCAACGACACAAGGCTATCAAGGATCTAACAGTTCCCTTCTCTACTCCCTACCCTCTACTTATTTATTTAATTTTTTTTAGAGACAGGGTCTGACTCTATCACCCAGGCTGGAGTGCAGTGACACACTCATAGCTCACTGTAACACTGAACTTCTGGGCTCAAGTGATCCTCCTGCCTCAACAGTTAGGATTACAGGCGCAAGCCACCAGACTCAGCTAATTTTTTTAGTAGAGATGGTGTCACACTATTTTGGCCAGGCGGTCTCAAACTCCTGGACTCAAGTGATCCTCCTGTCCTGGCCTCCCAAAGTGCTGGGATTACAGGCGTGCCTCATGGCGTTCAGCATCTCTCTTCTACCCTCTTCCTCCACAATAAGTACATTCTAGTGCCAGAGAGCACAAGTAATTTCATATAATTGGTAACAACGATATAATTCATCAATAAATTTCAGTACATGCCCAAATTTCAGTGCCCCAAATACCATCTTTAATCCTAAATTCCTAGATGGATTCCCTTCCAACCATCACTCTAAGTTATCTTACCACAACTAGTCAAATATTTATTAACAACAATGCAGCAGAAATGTATTAATCTAGTTAAAGCTATTCACTTAATGCAGGCTGGGTTGAAGACGTGGAGTCTTAACATAAACCCTAAAGGTATGTGTATACATACATATGAAAGGCTTGACTCACAGATAATCAGTAAGGAGTTCCTAAAGAGGGGGAAATTAGGAGAGTTCACAAATTACTAGGGACATCCTATCCAGATAAAACAGTAGGTGCAGAAGCATAAAAATGATAACTCAAAAACACCAATAAAATAGCAACAGATTTGCTTAGTTGGAAGACATATTCCATAAAAATGAAAGTAAGTCAAAAAAGAAGCAGAAATCTATATATAAGAATAAATATTTTGATACTGAAATAAGAAAATAGGGAACTAGTGGTTTAATTTTGAAGGAAATGACAAAATCTGGAATCATGAGAGGTTCCAGGTTCAAGTATGACACGAAAATAGAAAGAAAAAAAGCTGTGTAGGATGGATTATAGTCGTTCCAGAGAGGAAATAAAATTAACTAGATGCATGCTGCAATGATCCCAATTCCAGCCCAATATTCTTACTGTTGTATTACATAGTAAACATTTCAGAGCTGAACAACTTTTAAGAGATCTTCTCTAACCCCCTTATTCTTCACCAGATATATTTTACATACTGTTTGTTGTCTGCTTCTCACCCCCTGCCATTAAAACACATATAACTGCCCCAAAAAAAAGTCTGAAAGAGCAGAGAAAATATCTGGTTTGCCCACCCAGCACCAAGAACAGTGCCTGGCACATAAGGATTCAGAAATACAACAAGCAAGCAAAAAGAATAAAAACAGAGTAAAAGCAAGCAAGCGAAAAAGAAACTGAGACCCACAGAGATAAGTCAGAAAAGGAAGCAGCAGGTATTCCAAATCTATGAAACCATGAGGTCCAGTGCTATTTCTACTATGTTGTTACCCTTCTAGACTCATGTCACCACGATCCTGAATTGTTAACTATTTCATGTCTCCTTCCCTGTTCCAGAAAATACTTATGCTCTGTTCTCAATGACTGGTGCCTATTCTCCCAACTTCAATTCACTTTGATCACATTAACAAACCTCTAAAAGTTGGGATTTTAAATTTTTGTATAAGGATAAGCTCTAGGCCAGGTGTGGTGGCTCATGCCCATAATCCCAGTGCCTTCAGAGTCCGAGGCATGAGGATCATCACTTGAGCCCAGAAGTTTTAGACTAGCCTGGGCAACATAGCAAGACCCTGTCTCTACAAAAAAAAATTACAAAAATTAGCCGGGCTTGTTGGGGCATGACGGTAGTCCTAGCTACTCAGGAGGCTGAGGCAAGAGGATCACTTGAGCCCAGGAGTTCGAGGCTGCAGTGAGCTATGCTCGTGCCACTGCACTCCAGCCTGGGGAACAGAGCAAGTCTCTGTCTCTAAAAATAAATAAGTAAGGATAAATTCTAGATGTACTATTGATAACGGTTTTGCTGTGTCCCCAACCAAATCTCATCTTGAAGTGTAGTTCCCATAATCTGCACATCGTGGGAGGAACCTGGTGGGAGGTAAATGAATCACGGGGACGGTTACCTCCATGCTGTTCTCGTGAAAGTGAGTTCTCACAAGATCTGATGGTTTTTATAAGGGGCTTTCCCCACCCTTTGCTCTGCACTTCTCCTTGCTGTCACCTTGTGAAGAAGGACATGTTTGCTTCAATTTCTGCCATGATGGTAAGTTTCCTGAGGCCTCCCCAGTCATGCTGAACTGTGGGTCAATGAAACCTTTTTCCTTTATAAATTACCCAGTCTTGGGTATGTCTTTATTAGCAGCATGAGAACAGATGAATACAATTACATACATTTTACATATATTAAATAGTATGTAACACTAACCAAATCTGTGGGTTCATCTTCTTCTACCTCGGCTTCATCATCTTCATCCTCAATTATGGAATCTTCTACTGTTTCTTCATCCTCTGTAAGATCTTGTGCCACTGCTAACAAGCCTAATGATAAAATACAGAAAAAGCAGTTACCCTTTACTCTGAAATACTAATTTCTTTTTTTAACATCAGGTATAGGCAAAAAAAACTTCCCTTGGACTAACAGAATCTCCCAGTTCACCTGAATGATGCCAATTACAATGCACCGAAGAATATTTATATTTTAGTTTACTAGTAGTCTTAACAACTGCATATCAATTTTTTTTTTTTTTTTTTAAGAGTCAGGGTCTTGCTCTGATGCCTAGGTTGGGAGTACAGTTGTGCAGTCATAGCTCACTGCAGCCTCAAACTCCTGGGCCCAAGTGATCCTTCCACCTCAGCTTCCTGGGTAGCTAGGACTAGAGGCGTGAACCACTGTTCCCTGCCTTCCATGTTATTTTTAATGGGAAATGTGGTTTAACTTCAAAAAGTGCCCAACAGATGGAAAAATGAATGGCACAAACTAAAGATGCCTTGAAGCACAAAGAACTTCAAGCAACTTTGTTAAGCAAATTAAGGAAAATAATTTTTTGCAAAGATAAGAAACTTCTAAATGTAATCCCTGTCATTAACCATACAAAGCAAACTAAACAACCCCCACGTTTAAAAGAAAACAGCATTCTTGGCCGGCGCGGTGGCTCACGCCTGTAATCCCAGCACTTTAGAAGGCTGAGGAGGGTGAATTACTTGAGGCCAGGAGTTCAAGACCAGCCTGGCCAATACAGAGAAACCCCGCCTCTACTGAAAATGCAAAAATTAGCTGGGTGTGGTGGCACACACCTGTGGTTCCAGCTACTCCAGAGGCTGAGGCAGGAGAATCGCTTGAACCCAGGAGGCAGAAGTTGCAGTGAGCCAAGATTGTACCACTGCACTCCAGCCTGGGCGACACAGCAAGACACCGTCTCAAAAAAATAAAAATAAAAAAATAAAGCATTCTTAAGTTCTAATGTTCTATGTAGGAAACACTGTTATCAGAGGTGACTACAGCTGAAACTCTTAGAACTGGATAGTTTGTAAGCCAAGGAACAAATATCTGTAATCATATCCATGGTAAAAACTGGCTTGCATGAAAAACATTGTTTAGTAAAAACTGTATTGGTAGCTTCAGGTTTGATAGCAAAGAAAGAATCCAATTATTTTTGCATGTGGCTTCAAACATGTTTTAAGATATTTTTTCTCAAACTTAGTGTTACAAAGTACAGGTATAATGCAAAAAAAAGGTGAATCACAGTTTTATAGACAATAGTACTCTAAGTAAGTCACATTATATCTATTTCAGGCAAGACCATAAAAAGAATTTCAAAGTTCTAGTGTCTTCCAACATCTCTCAGAAAAAATGATGATGTGGCAATTCTGTGGATAAAAAACATGGGAAGGGAAGCGTGTTTTCACCCAGGAGAAACAGTTAAGGACCATGCATTTGCAGTCTTTTCCATGTCTTTAAGTTCTCACTGGCTGCTAAGATTTATTGCAAAATATTAAAGAACACTGAACCATGCATTATGAACTAAAGAGATTTCACTGCCTGCTGAACAAAGCCTAAAATAGTGCATTCATAACTTACAAGTCCTTTTCAAAAACCAGTAAGAAAAATACCATGTCTGATATAGTAATTTAAAGTCGTGGTTAAATTTGAGCACTTTGGAATATAAAGGCCTTTCATAAATATTAAACAATTTTATTATTTTAATGTTAACCAATAACAATTTTGTCCCCATGAAGTCTAACAGTCTTCATTCAACTGGAAAAACCAAACACAAAAACCGTTTCTCACAAAAAATGTTTACAAGATATTAATTCAGTTTAGATAATGAATTCATGCTTCTTGAAAGTTTTTATAACTTGAAAATAGTTATAAATAGTTCTAAAACTAAAACTACATTTGTCAAGTTTTCTTTTAAAAAGCTTAAAGAGTACCAGCAAACGACTCCTAAAGTAAAAAATCTTGTTAAACCTGCAGATTAACTCATTAACAGTTGTTTAATTCTCCCACTTGGTTTTCTAGCCATTAAACAGAAGCCAGTCACTTCACTTTTCATCGCAAAACAACTCGTGAATACCTGTCACTACCGTTAAGACACACAGCTTGCTTAAACTTACAGAATGAAAGGGATGCTTAGTCAGACTAATTATTTCACTTTACAAATTAGAAAGTCGAAGTTCACGACAAAACCTGTGCAGGAAGTCAAGTTGCCATATTTTTATATTCTGCTAAGTTATTTTCACACTTAATTGCTGGGTTAATTGTTGAAAGAATAAATCTATGTATTAAAAACACTCGAAGTAGGCCACATTTTTTCAGCACAATACGATGTTTCCACAAACAAAAAATTGTTCCATGGAAAGACAAGAAGAGGAAGAAGGCAGAAGGGAGACATCCCACAGGGATTCTTCAGTCTGCTTGGCAGCAGGGGCGGATAACGGGGGTGACGATGGGGTAGTTTTTCTGAAATCAAGCCTCCTAGTAACACATACGGGTCAAGCAGGGCGTGAACAAGGCAGATGACCATTGAACAAGACACTCTGATGGCTTAGATGTGTAGAAAACAAGGGTTTTGGCAAATGAATGAAGACGGACTCCCGGCGTGGAAGCTAAAGACACGTCAGCCCTGAGCGCGAGGGGCTGGGGGTGGAGCGGAGCCGGAGGTGGCCAAAAGAAACAGCCCGGCTGCGGCGCGCTCGGAGCGCAGCCGTGTCCAGCGCCTCCTCCTGCAGCCGAGGACCCTCCAGTTCTGGCCGCTCCTGCAGGCGAGGGTCCAGGGCAAGAGGAGCAAGCCCAGCCCTCGGCCGGCCACGAAGCAAGGTCGCCCGGGCACGGCCCCGCGCTCCGCGTGCAAGGGGCAGGCCGCAGCGGGGTCTCCAGCGCCCGCGGGGACCCCTGCTGCTACGAGCCTAGGCTTGGGGAGAGGGCGGAGAGAGGCCAGCGGGGTGGACGCGGACCCCAGGACCCGGAGCGGCCACCGCCTCCAACTTCAAACTTGCCATCACTGGCATCTCCTTCCTGGCCATCCCCTCCGCACACTCCCCCAGCCTCACCTCTGGGGCCGCCTCGGAACAAGACAGTGGCAGGGAACACGAGTAAGAGAAGCAGCAGCAAGCGGGGGAGGAGTCTCATGGCGCTGCCGGTCCAGTGTCCAGTTTCCGTCGGCTAAGGCTCTCGGCGGCTCCGGCGGTAATGGCGTTACTCTTCATCCGGGCTCCGGGCAGCGAGGGGCGGGACACGTACCGCGCACGGGCCTTTGCCACGCCCCTCCCTGGACCAGGGACCGCCGCCGACGTGGCTGCTCAGCGCGGAGAGGTGGGGAGAGCAGGCCACCGGGAAGTCACGTGGCCGGCTGCTGCCTCTTTGTGGCTCCCGCGAGAGTCCGCCTTCCGCCGCAGTTGCGACCCGGCAGCTTGCGGTTAGCCGTTCTTTCCGCCCAGTTCTTTACTTCCAATTAATTAGCATTGTCAGTGGTTACTTTATTTGAATGACGATCCTCTTGATAACGGCGATGTAAGGAACATGAGCTGCCTTTATGTGGCACTTAAAAGCAAAAAATTTTGTTGGAAGAGAGGACATTGTTCAAAGGAAAAACCATGAAAATACACAGTGGAAAATCTTTGTCCCCTGTCTGCCCACACCCTCTCCCATGGTTAAGTAATGACAATTCTTAAATTATTATTTTTGAGACGAAGTCTTGCTCTGTCGCCCAGGCCAGAGTTCAGTGGCACCATCTCTGTTCACCGCAACCTCCGCCTCCCGGGTTCAAGCGATTCTCCCGCCTCAGCCTCCTAAGCAGCTGGGACTACAGGCGCGCACCACTACGCCCGGCTAATTTTTGTATTTTTACTGGAGACGGGGGTTTCACCATGTTGGCCAGACTAATCTCAAACTCCTGACCTCAGGTGATCCACCCGCCTGGGTCTCTCAAAGTGCTGGGATTACAGGTGTGAGCCACTGCGCCTGGCCAGCAATTCTTAAATTCGTATGTGACATTCCAGAATTATAAGTCACCTAAACAGTGTTTTGGTATGTAGTCAGCATTTGTAACTATACAATAGGTGCAGCAATGGCTGTCCAGTTTTCTTTAGTTTCCTTTTCATCTATTTTGGATTTGAGTTGCTGGAGTAATATAGCAGTTCATGAAATTAATCTGAATATTAAGTAATCTTGGTCTGGACCAGAGTGAGATGTCATAAAGATGAGGAAATAAATCATATGCTTACTATTGTCAATCACCTCCTTAGAGCTGTGCTTTTTCATTTAATTTTCTAAACCTCTCTATGAGCTGGATATTATTTACTGAGGAGAAAACAGACCCAGAGAGGTTAGTAATTTACTCAAAGCTTCAAAACGCTAGCAAACGGCAGATGCAAGATTTGAACAAGGCTATCTGGTTCCAGATTCCATACACTACTGACCTAGGACATTTGCTGTTCTACTCCTGCATTGTTTCCGCTTCAGGTCTCCTTGTCCTGGGGGCTGTAAATGCAGCTTGGACCCACTGCCACCACTACCTACAGTCTGCTAAAGTCACAGCCTGATGGTGCTGGGCTGAATCAACCAAATTCCACTCTGCCAGGCCACCAGTGGCACCGCTGCTGTGTTGCTGCTGCTACTAGGGCGCCCAGCATAAGTGGAGGGCCTCCTCTCACTTTGCTGCTGCCTCTGCTCCTGTGCACGCTACCAGTGTTGCCACTCTATGTCAGAGCTGTGTCTGGAATAGGGTTCTTGGTCTCACTGACTTTAAGACTGAAACCGCAGACCCTCGTGCTGAGTGTTACAGTTCTTAAAGTCCAGAGTTTGTTCCTTCATCATGTTCGGATGTGTTCCGAGTTTCTTCCTTCTGGTGGGTTCATGGTCTCACTGGCTCAGGAGTGAAGCTACTAGACCATCGCAGTGAGTGTTACAGCTGTTAAGGTGTCCATTCCTCCTGGTGGGTTCATAGTCTCGGTGGCTTTAGGAGTGAAGCTGCAGACCTTCGCGGTGAGTGTTACAGCTCATAAAGGCAGTGAGCAGCAGCAAGATTTATTGCAAAAAACAAAGCTTCTGAGAGGTGACAGCATGCTGGCAGTACTCAGCCCTCGCTCGCTCTCGGCGCCTCCTCTGCCTGGGCCCCCACTTTGGTGGCACTTGAGGAGCTCTTCAGCCCACCGCTGCACTGTGGGAGCCCCTTTCTGGGCTGGCCAAGGCCGGAGCCAGCTCCCTCAGCTTGCCGGGAAGGTGTGGAGAGAGGCGTGGGCGGGCGGGAACTGGGGTTACGCGCGGTGCTTGCCAGCCAGTGCGAGTTCCGGGTGGGCGTGGGCTTGGCGGGCCCTGCAGTGGGAGCGGCCAACTGGGCCAGGCGGGGGGCAGTGAGGGGCTTAGAACCTGGGCCAGCAGCTGCTGTGCTCGATTTCTCACCGGGCCTTAGCTGCCTTCCCGCGGGGCAGGGCTCGGGACCTGCAGCCCACCATGTCTGAGCCTCCCCCAACCCCATGGGCTTCTGTGCAGCCGGAATCTCCCCGACCAGCGCCACCCCCTGCTGCACGGTGCCCAGTTCCTTCCACCACCCAAGGGCTGATCAGTACAGGTGCACAGGCATGGGACTGGCAGACAGCTCCACCTGCAGCCCCAGTACGGGTTCCACGGGGTGAAGCCAGCTGGGCTTCTGAGTCTGGTGGAGACGTGGAGAACCTTTATGTCTAGCTCAGGGATTGTAAACACACCAATCAGCACCCTGTGTCTAGCTCAGGCTTTGTGAATGCACCAATCGACACTTTGTATCTAGCTACTCTGGTGGGACCTTGGAGAACCTTTGCGTCCACGCTCTGTATCTAGCTAATCTAGTGGGGACGTGGAGAACCTTTGTGTCTAGCTCAGGGATTGTAAACGCACCAATCAGTGCCCAGTCAAAACAGGCCACTCGGCTCTACCAATCAGCAGGGTGTGGGTGGGGCCAGATAAGAATAAAAGCAGGCTGCCCTGAGCTTAGCAGCGACAACAGGCTCCAGTTTCTTTCCATGCTGGGAAAATATCTGTTCTTTTGCTCTTTAAGCTCATATTGCCTTTATGAGTTATAACACTCATTATGAAGGTCTGCAGCTTCGCTCCTGAAGCTAGGGAAATCACGAACCCGCCAGGAAGAATGAATAACTCAAGATATGCCACCTTAAGAGCTGTAACGCTCACTGTGGAGGTCTGTGGGTTTACTCTTGGGCTAGTGAGATTACAAGCCCACCAGAAGGAAGAAACTCCGGATACACTGCCTTTAAGAACTGTAGTACTCACTGTGAGGGTCTGTAGCTTCATTCTTTAAGTCAGGGAGGCTAATGAGCCCCCAATTCTGGACACTGGAGTGGGACCTGAGCAGGTTGCCACTGATTCAGGCAGCCTGCTTTTTTTTCCGTTTATTTGGCTTCACATTCTGCTGGTTGGTTTATTTTAGAGCTGATTGGTGTGTTTTCAATTGGTGAGCTAGACACAAAGTTCTCCATGTCCCCACTGGGTTAGCTATACACAGAGTGTCAATTGGTGTGTTCACAAACCCTGGGCTAGACACAGTGCTGATTGGTACATTCACAATCCCTTAGTTAGACATTCTCCAAATCCCCACCAGATTAGAGTGCCAATTGGTGCATTCACAAACCCTGAGCTAGATACAGTGTGCTGATTGGTGTGTTTATAAACCTTGAGTTAGATACAGAGTGCTGATTGGTGTGTTTATAATCCCTCAGCTAGGCAGAAAGATTCTCTAAATCTCCACTAGATTCAGGAGCCCAGCTGGTTTCACCCAGTGGATCCCACACCGGGGCTGCAGGTGGAGCTGCCTGCGAGTCCCGCGCGGTGCGCCAGCACTCCTCAGCCCTTGGGTGGTCGATGGGACTGGGCGCTGTGGAGCTGGGGGTGGCGCTCGTCGGGGAGGCTCAGGCATGGTAGGCTGCAGGTCCCGAGCCTTGCCCCACGGCGGAGCAGGTAAGGCCTAGCGAGACATAGAGCACAGCAGCTGCTGGCCCAGGTGCTAAGCCCTTCACTGCCCGGACCCGCTGGCCGCTCCGAGTGCGGGGCCCGCCAAGCCCACGCCCACCCGGAACTCGCGCTGGCCCACAAGCGCCGCGCGCAGCCCTGGTTCCCGCCCGCGCCTCTCCCTCCACACCTCCCCGCAAGCTGAGGGAGCCGCTTCTGGCCTTGGCCAGCCCAGAAAGGGGCTCCCACAGTGCAGCGGCGGGCTGAAGGGCTCCTCAAGCGCTGCTGGAGTGGGCGCCAAGGCCGAGGAGGCCCCCAGAGCGAGCAAGGACTGCCAGCACGCTGTCCCTGCTTTGAGGTGACTGTACCTTACAGAGTTCTCCACTGACTCAGCATAATCTCCCTCCCCTACTTTGAGGCACCCTTTCATGAGTTTCAAATGAGACCTGCTCTGAGCTTGTTGATGTCTGACAGGTGTTTTGACAAATACATCTTTCTGTTTAACTTGCTACTCTCTCCTAACACCAAAAACAATTGATGGGAACTGTAATAGATGGTGAAGTTACAGACTTCATGCTGTACTCAAAATCACACCTGCTCTCCATCACGGCACCACCGTGTCTTACTGGCTTGCTTTCCCCATTCAGAGGACTGATTACTGAAGGGGACGACGTCTCATTCTTTATGGTAAAGAGATTCCTAGTAGGTCTGTCTCACCGGTTCTCAGATGTTTAGACGTAGCCTGAACATGTAAGGATAATTTAGTTTAGGCTTAACCTGTGACTTCCACTCCAATGATGATGTCATCAATCGATTACTATCGGATTTTATTTGGGACTTGAATTTTACACAACCAGCTACTATTGGTACAACAGGAAAAATAAAGTGTGCCTACTCGAGATATTACTGATGTGATGAATTTAGGGAAAATAACATGTAAACAGAAAACAGAAGACCTGTGTGACTGTCCAATTAGTATTAAAAAATGACAGCTGTGATCAAGGAAGTAAGGGGCTCACCCTGACCAGTGTGCTCACCAATTCTGCATCACTGTGATCCACATTCTTCCCGTAATAAGCAGCTTTTCCTTGGTGCCCACCCAGAGCTCTCTGCCCTACTTGGTTCCAATCCTTAATTTATGGAATTATGAATTCCATTTACTAATTTATTTAAGTCTTT
Organism: Homo sapiens; assembly: GCF_000001405.40. Taxonomy (NCBI): domain Eukaryota; kingdom Metazoa; phylum Chordata; class Mammalia; order Primates; family Hominidae; genus Homo; species Homo sapiens. Next base: position 7,318,113 of record NC_000006.12, read on the forward strand.
CCAAATCTCTCCCCATGTCTGTACCAATCTCTTTGAAGGGATTTCTTTTCAGGGAATATTCCATATCCTGGTGACTCTCCTTCACAGACCTCAGACAAATCCGTAGTTGATTCTCCACATCTGTCATTTCATTCCCTTAGAATGTGTAAAAGCAGAGGATTCTTTCCCTTTGATTACTTAAGATTTCCCTCCACATCACTCACAAATGTGTTTGTTAAGTACTCGTGTTTGTTCTTTTATACCCCCACCAAGTAACTGTGTGGCCAAGAAACTCCCTCATGTCCTTTATTTTTTTGAGATGGAGTCCTGCTCTGTCACCCAGGTTGGAGTGCAGTGGCACAATCTCGGCTCATGGCAACCTCTGCCTTCTGGGTTCAAGCGATTCTCCTGCCTCAGCTTCCAGAGTAGCTGGGATTACAGGCACCCATCACCACGCCCGGTTAATTTTTGTATTTTTAGTAGAGACGAGGTTTCACCATGTTGGTCAGGCTGGTCTCGAACTCCTAACCTCAAGTGATCCACCCCCCTCCCCTCGGCCTCCCAAAGTGCTGGGATTACAGGTGTAAGACACTGCGTCCAGCCGCTCATGTCCTTTAAATCTTTGCTCAACTGTCACCTTCTCAGTGAGGCTTACCTTGACCTCTGCTTTAAAATTCCAACCCTCCTGCCCCCACATTCTCCATTTCCCTCTGTTCTCCTCTTGTTCATAGTACTGGTTATCTCCTCTCACAATATAGTTCAGCCTGTCTCCTGTTGGTCACCTGTGAACATCTTGTGGCCAGGGAGTTTGTGTCTTAATGTTATAGAAGGGTGCCTGACAACCAGTGTGAACTCAGTAAGTATTTGTTGAATCAATGAAGGTATAGTGTTGTTACAAGTCACATCTTTCCTCCATAAATTTGAACCCAAGTTTGATTGTAAACCTAATAAGAAATGAAAAAACATTGAGTAAAAAACCCCAAAAACATTATGTTTATTATATATAAGCAAACGCTTAAGCATTCTTTCATGTAGCAAGGGCAAAAAAAAAAAAAAAAAAAAAAGAATTAGCTTTTGTGAACTATACCTCCAAGGAAAAAAACTCCTTTATAATCCTTATGAAAAGAGGGCACTATGGGAAAGGAAACAAGAAATAAGAACGACTTTAAAGGGAGTGCTGGCTCTCCAGCCCACCTCCTCACTTAGGAAGGCCTCCAATCCTTCCCCAGCACATACTTCATAGAAAAGAACAGATGAAGTCATAACTACCTGATCAGTCACCACAAGACCCCCCACTTACTTGCATCCTTGTGCTCAGGCTCTGCCTTTTTTTTTTTTTTTTTTTTTTTGTGAGATAGGGTCTGGCTGTGTCTCCCAGGCTGGAGTGCAGTGAAACAGTCATAGCTCATTGTAACCTTGAACTCCTGGGTTCAAGTAAATCCTCCTGCCTCAGCCTCCCAAGTAGCTAAGACTACAGGCACACCACCATGCCCAGCAAATTTTTTTTTTTGTAGAGATGGGGTCTCGCTATGTTGTCCAGGCTGGTCTCCAACTCCTGGCCTCAAGCAATCCTCCCACTTTGGCCTCCCAAAGTGCTGGGATTACAGGTATGAGCCATCAGTCCTTTCAGTTACAATAAAACGATGTTTAGAGGCCCATCAAAGGCCAACCACCATTTGTGGTTTAGATCCCATCTCCTGCTCAAGGACATGAGATTCTGAAAATAGCCCCCTCTTTTCTCCCTCACAATACATTTCTACTTCTCTAATTCATTATTTGAACATCAACAGACAAATATAATATTCCCTGTCTTTAAAAAAAAACTCTCTCGGCCTTGGTTCCCCTTCAGCAATAGTCTAATTTCTCCGCTCCCTGACACAGTAAAGCATCAGTATTTTACCCCTCCATTTTCTTCTCAGTCTATTCCAACTGTGCTCTTATTTTTAACACTTCACTAAAATTTGCTAGGTCTAATGGCCCTCATGTGAGCCTTTCCTCCTCTCATTCTTGAGCACTTGTTTCTCGAGGCTCACCGACATCCATGCTTCTGGTTTTCCTTCCACCTCAGCAACCCCTCCTTCTTCTCTGCTTGGCACCTAAATATAGGCCTGCTAGAATGGGCACACTGTCTACTCTCTGTGTCTACAGGTTCTGTATTCTTGGATTCAACTGACTGCAGATCAAAAATATTGGAAAATAAATAAAAATCAGAACAATAAAGATACAAATAAAAGTATAACAGTTTACATAGCATTGATGCTATGTTAGATATTATAAGTAATCTAGAGCTGATTTAAAGTATATGGAAGGGTGTGTGTAGGTTATGTGCAAATAGTATGTCATTTTTTTTTTTGAGATGGAGTCTCGCTCTGTCGCCCAGGCTGGAGTGCAGTGGCACCATCTTGGCTCACTGCAAGCTCCACCTCCAGGGTTCACCCCATTCTCCTGCCTCAGCCTCCCGAGTAGCTGGGACTACAGGCACCCGCCACCATGCCTGCCTCATTTTTTGTATTTTTAGTAGAGATGGGGTTTCACCGTGTTAGCCAGGATGGTCTCGATCTCCCGACCTTGTGATCGACCCGTCTCGGCCTCCCAAAGTGCTGGGATTACAGGCGTGAGCCACTGCGCCTGGCCAAATAATATGTCATTTTAAGGAACTTCAGCACCCGCAGATTTGGGTATACATTGGGAGTCTTGGAACTGGTCCCCCTCGGATACTGAGGGATAACTGTACTACATAAGGCTGGGAAACTCACCTGCTTATATTCTGTAAGAGGCCTTAGAGGACACTCCATTTACCAAAGCGATGAGAAATGCACTGGTGAGAGGGGCTGAGAAGAACATTGGTCAGCTGTGCTCTGGAGGTCTGGGCTCAGGGCAAGAGATGCCGTAATGGAACTGCACTGACAGCAGTGGGAGTAAGGATGGGAATGGAGGCCAGACGGCATCACCTAATGGTCAGCAACAATGTGGGCACACTGCTCACAATTCTGCAGGGTCAGAATAGGGGAGAGGGGCTGGGGAACGGGCAAGGGGAGTAACCTGTAGAGAGTTATGGTAATAGCTGATAAAACGCCTTCCTAGAGGCAAGACAGATGGGCACCCAACAACAGCATTGTTTAGTTTATACAATTAAATAAATCAAGAGGCCGGGCGCAGTGGCTCACGTCTGTAATCTCAGCACTTTGGGAGGCCAAGGCAGGTGGATCACGAGGTCAGGAGATCGAGACCATCCTGGCCAACATGGTGAAACTCCGTCTATACTAAAAATACAAAAATCAGCCAGGCGTGGTGGCACGTGCCTGTAGTCCCAGCTACTCGGGAGGCTGACGCAGGAGAATTGCTTGAATGTAGGAGGTGGAGGTTGCAGTGAGCTGAGATTGTGCCACTGCACTCCAGCCTGGAGACAGAGCGAGACTCCATCTCAAAAAAGAAAAAAAAGAAAAAAAGAAATCAAGAAAAACCAGGAGGCTGAGGGCAGTCATCCCAATAAAAAGTTTTGATACTGCTGTGGTCTGAATGTGTCCCCTAAAATTCACATGATAATATTATAAGAAGAGGAGCCTTTCGGAGGTGATTAAGTCTTGAAGTCAGAGCCCTCATGAATGAGATCAGCAACCATATAAAAGCTCTGGAGAGAACTAGCTAGGCCCTTTTTGCCAGTCTTGATTTTTTATTATTATTAGTTTTTGAGACGGAGTCTCACTTTGTCACCCAGGCTGGAGTGCAGTGGCACGATCTCAGCTCACCACAACCTCCGCCTCCCAGGTTCAAGTGATTCTTGTGCCTCAGCCTCCTGAGTAGCTGGAATTACAGGCATGCGCCACCATAGCCAGCTAATTGTTGTATTTTTAGTAGAGACGAGGTTTCACCATGTTGGCCATGCTGGTCTTGAACTCCTGACCTCAAGTGATCCACCCACCTCAGCCTCTTGAAGTGCTGGGATTACAGGCACAAGCCACTGCACCCGACCTGCGTTCTTTCTGCCATGTGAGGACACAGCATCCATCACCTCTGGTGGCCACAGCAACAAGGAAGCAGAGAGCAGCCTTTACCAGACTCCGAACCTACTGGCACCTCGATCTCAGATTTCTAAACTCTGAGACTGTGAGAAATAAATTTCTGTTCTTTTTTTGTTTGTTTGAGACAGAGTCTCACTCTGTAGCCAGGCTGGAATGCAGTGGCTCAATCTCGGCTCACTGCAACCTCTGCCTCGCGGGTTCAAGCGATTCTCCTGCCTCAGCCTCCCGAGTAGCTGGGACTACAGGCGTGCGCCACCACGCCCAGCTAATTTTTGTATTTTTAGTAGAGACAGAGTTTCACCATGTTGGCCAGGATGGTCTCCATCTCTTGACCTCGTGATCTGCTTGCCTTGGCCTCCCAAAGTGCTGGGATTACAGGTGTGAGCCACTGCGCCCGTCCTAAATTTCTGTTCTTTATAAGTTACCCAGTCTCAGGTATTTTGTTACAGCAGCAGGAACGAATTTAGACAGCTCCCCTTCCTCCACTGGGCCTGACCCAATTATCAATCCCAGAACTGAAGCAGAAGTCAGGTTCCTATGACAAAGAGCCCTGAAGCACCACCACAACTGCCATTTAGTATTGAATACCACCACTACTCCCCTCCGCAGCCAAAATTAAAAATTAAAAATACAAACCAATCACATCAGTGGGGAATGGTAGAGGTGTGTGTCACCTTCAAAGGGGTGGTGGTCTGTGTTAAATCCCAGTTTAATTTGCCAGCTTGCCCCTGCAAAAACTAGATAGTTCATAGGAGATGACAGCAGAATACTAAAACTTTCCCAGGTAGCAGCCCCGATGCCTCAAGCTCAAACACAGCAGTTGATCACAGTTTGTCCTACCAACCCTTCTCTTGGATGTTCCCCAGGAAGAAGATTGATCAGAATCCTTGGGAAACATGGGGTGGGAGCAGTGACGGACTGCAAATAGGATGGAGGAAATTTGGGGATGGGGTGATGGAAATATTGTAAAACTAGATTGTGGTGATTATTGCATGACTATATAAATTTGCTAAAAATCACTGAATTGTATACTTAAAATAGTTGAATTTTACAGCACATAAATCATCCCTCAATAAAGGGAAGAGTATAGAAAATACATTTATTGGTGGTAATAACTTGTGTATTTATGTACTATAGGTTTTATGCCTCTTCTTCCAGTTACCAACACTCTTTCATTAGGGGATCAAATCCTCCCATCAAACAAGTGGAGACATGCCCAGTGGAGCAGCTTTGCTGTGAAATTTTGAAAATTGAAAACTCTTCTCCCAGCACCTTCTTTGGCCCTTGGCCCCATTTATGATAAGAATCCTCCACTGTATTATAGTGTTGAATTTTTACCATATTGTGCCCACTAGACTTTTATAAAAATATATTCTAATTGTTCTTCATGCACATTTAACCTTGCTAAATACAGGATGATCTTTGTCCAGTTTCACACCTTACCCCTAAGGTGCAATCATAATTCATACTAATTCCCAAAGTCCTTTGCAGTTTTTTTCAGACTGGATCTGCTAGATTTGAATTATATAGGCGGCTCACTCTTACCAAGAGTTGCATTTATATAGGCGAATGTTAACGATCTTTGAAAGATAGAACATAATATACAAAACATTTATATCCTTAAACAATATTAGCACAGTCCTGTAACTCTTCTTAAACTAGAGTGACTATGAACTTAGTTTCCTAAAACAGATGTTATGGAGGAGCCAGGGTTTGAATCTGAATCTTATGATTCCCTGTCGAGTGCTCTTTTTCCTATTCCGTACTATCTCTCCTGCATTATAATTTAGGGAAGAATGTGCTAAGTGCCATTAAAAAGTCAGATAAAACAGACGAAAGAGGCATTTCAGATGAGGATGAGGGTGAGATCTGAATTAGATCTCAAAGGGTACAAATGTTTTAAATATGAGGTACTGCATGGTGGATGTGAAGAAAGGAGAGCTTTTAGTGGGCAAGGAAAGTGCATTCCCAAAAAAGGAAACAATATGGGGAAAGGCACAGAAGTTTGGGCCCAGAGCATGGAAGGCAATGAACACTGACTATGGAGTAAGGATTTGAAAACCTGTCCATAAAATATATTTAAGTGAATTATGACACATATCCATGAAATATTATACAGCCTTCAAAAATCAGAGTTATGAAGACTGGAGATACAGGAAAATAGCTATCAGAAACACTATGAGTTCAGATAACCTACTTAGGATAGTGTGTGAAAGTGCCTTGTAAACTGCAAATAACAATTTTTGGAAGGTTTATCATGGGGAGTGAAAAGAGAGGAACCATGATAGCTTTAGAAAAGAAAAGGGTTGCAGGAAGGATATTTTTTAAAGGCTAGGGTAGGGTTCAATGAAGAGTTATAAAGGAAGGTGTGAGAAGATACAAATGATTGCCGGAGCAAATCCTCAAGGAGATACGATGGGTCAGAGTCAAGAGGACAAGAGACCAAACAGACCAGAGGAAAAAAGAGGAAAGTGCGTAAGTCCACAGACGGGAGAGGAAACTGCGTCCCCATGCAATCTCCTGTGGTGAGAGCCAAAGCTTTACTCTGTGAAGGCAGAAGCTGTGGCTATTTCCAACTTTCACTTCTCTCTTCCGTCCCCCTACTACAAGAAGAGAGTGACACTCCCGGCCATGAGCTCCCTCAACTTACTACACCACGGCTTATGTTTGCCCTGAACATGCCTGTCCTGATTTCAGAGGAAGAGCTGTCCCTGTCCCTAGGCTGTGCTGTGGAGCCTAGTCTCTCTTTTCTCCTCTGACATCTTGCTTCATCAATGATCCCTCTCTCTCCTTGATCTTCAGTCTCTTCCCTGATCACTTCTCAGCATATACATAACTGCTTATGAAATACCTCCACTCAAGATGCTTCACAGCTACCTCAAACTCAGGGTATCTCTCCTTACAAACCAGCTATCCCTCTGGTCTTCTCTACATCGTTCATCCAGAGCTCTTCTAGGCTTCCTAGACCCTTCTCTCTCCACTCCCACAGCTAACTAATAACCCCATCCTTTCCATGACAACAATAATAATAGCTTTTATTTATTCACCACTTCCTTCAGGACCAGATATATACTCTACATATATTTTCATCTCGTATTTATCTAATTTAAGTGCAAAACTAACTTTAGTGAGATAAAATAGTTTTTCTCTTCCACCTAAGGGGTGTGTGTGTGTATATATATATATTTTTATATGTATATATTATATATATATATATATATATATAATTTTTATTTTTTTTTTTTTTGAGATAGGGTCTCACTCTGTTGCCCAGGCTGGAGTGCAGTGGTGAGATCTCAGTTCACTGCAGTCTCTGCCTCCCAGGTTCAAGCAATTCTCTGGCCTCAGCCTCCAGAGTAGCTGGGACTACAGGCACTCACCACCATGCCCGGCTAATTTTAGTATTTTTTTTTAGTAGAAACAGGGTTTCAACATGTTGGCCAGGCTGGTCTCGAACTCCTGACCTCAAGTGATCCACCTGCCTCGACCTCCCAAGGTGCTGGGATTACAGGCGTGAGCCACCGTGCCCAGCCGTAAGGCATATTTTGATCAATAGCTATACCTCCAGTCCGGTTCTGGGATTTATCAAAAGGATAATATGTATGTTATATACATTTATTTTTCTAGTGCATCTCACAAAATCAGCTCTCTCTGGCTCCTTTGTTTAAATTCGGAACTAATTCCTCAAAACTATGTGAAAGTGGAAATTATAAGGGTTAGGTCTTAAGAGACCAGTCCTTTCCTTTCATCTGGGTTTTTCTGTTTTGAGACAGGGTTTCACTCTGTTGCCTAGGCTAGAGTGCGGTGTATGATCATGGCTCACTGCAGCCTCCTCCTGGGCTCAGGCCGTCCTCCTGCCTTAGCAACCTCCCATCCCCACCCCCTTATACCACACTCCCCTCCCCTGCCACCCAGTAAGCTGGGACAACAAGTGCTTGCCAGCATACCTGGCTAATGTTTCTGATTTTTAGTAGAGATGAGCTCTTCCTATGTTGCCCAGGCTCTTTATTTATTTATTTATTTTATTTGAGACAGAGTCTTGCTCTGTCGCCCAGGCTGGAGTGCAGTGGCACGATCTGGGCTCACTGCAAGCTCCGCCTCCCGGGTTCACACCATTCTCCTGCCTCAGCCTCCCGAGTAGCTGGGACTACAGGTGCCCCCGCCACCACACCTGGCTAAGTTTTTGTATTTTTAGTAGAGACGGGGTTTCACCATGTTAGCCAGGATGGTCTCGATCTCCTGACCTCATGATCCACCCGCCTCGGCCTCCCAAACTGCTGGGATTACAGGCATGAGCCACCGCGCCTGGCCACCCAGGCTCTTTTATCTGCGTTATAATTCCAAAGGATTTCAGAGTTGGTGTCTTTTAAAATTTGGTTGGTATTATGAAGAATCTGCCTGCCTGGACAGAAAAAGGATGTCCTGCAGAGGAAATAAAAAGTTGAAGTGAAATCCATGACTATTTTTGTGCATCATTAAAGGCCTGATAATATGGGAGTGGTATTCTGTGAGAATATTTGGTCAAAAAACCACTGTATTCTTCTGTTTATGTTAAATAGAATATATTTGATTATTCACAGGAAGAAATTAGAAGAAAAGTAATCACATCTTTGGAATGTAAGACTTTACCCTTTATACAGATTTTAATATATCATCTGCATGGATTGATTTGGCTAGCATATGTAGTAATGACTCTTCCTGGAGTGGTTGACAAAAATGATTACTGTTTAATCTTCAGGCTTGTTTAATCTAAATCATTTCTATTTTCTTTAAAAAGAGCTGGCATCTAAAAATGAAAGGAAAAATGTTTCGTAAGTTTTGGGGAAAGACTAACATTCAGTGACAGAACCCCTAAACAGCCAATTTTTTATTACATATGGAAAAGGGGTGCAAAGTAAGCCTATAGATAGATGAATTCCACAGATAATACCAACACTATATTTTGTTTGTTTGTTTTGAGACAGAGTCTCACTCTGTTACCCAGGCTGCAGTGCAGTGGTACAATCTCGGCTCACTGCAAGCTCTGCCTCCCAGGTTCAAGCGATTCTCCTGCCTCTGCCTCCCAAGTAGCTGGGATTATAGACACTCAACACCATGCCCGGCTATTTTTTGTATTTTCAGTAGAGACGGGGTTTCACCATGATGGCCAGGCTAGTCTCGAACCCCTGACCTCAAGTGATCTGTCCACCTCAGCCTCCCAAAGTGCTAGGATTATATTTTTGATAGAGATGGGGTTTTGCCATGTTGTCCAGGCTGGTCTCGAACTCCTGACCTCAAGTGATCCACCTGCCTCAGCTGTGAGCTCAGGTGTGAGCCACCACACCTGGCCCCCAACACTATATTTTAACTGATATTTTTGTTTGTTTGTTTCAACCTTTTTCCCACTAAGGAACACCATGAAGAACAATGTGGATTGAGTTTCATCTTCCTTGGTTTGGTTGGCAATTGACAGATGTAGAAAAAGGAATAGAAGCAAGAATCTGAATAATCCAAAAGTGATTTAGCAGCATGGCATAGTTAAAAATTGATAGTATTGGCTGAGCGCGGTGGCTCACGCCTGTAATCCCAGCACTTTGGGAGGCTGAGGCAGGCGGACCACCTGAGGTCAGGAGTTTGAGACCAGCCTGACCAACATGGAGAAACCCCGTCTCTACTAAAAATACAAAATTAGCTAGGCGTGGTGGTACCTGCCTGTAACCCCAGCTACTCGGGAGGCTGAGGCAGGAGAATCACTTGAACCCCGGAAGTGGAGGTTGCAGTGAGCCGAGATTGCGCCATTGCACTCCAGCCTGGGCAACAAGAGTGAAACTCCGTCTAAAAAATAAATAAATAAATAAATAAATAAATAACCATTGACAGTATTAAGGCACCCTCTTAGTTCAACTATGAGAAAAGCTGGGTCTCAATGGCAGCATATGGAGGCATGCCCTATTGAGTGTCCCCTCATCCCCAAAGCTATGTTACAAATAGGCCACGGCATTTATGAACATACCCATGTCCTGGAATGGGACAGAGGTGGCAGCAGCTGTGTCTGCTGTTTGGGATCACTCCAGCAAGTGTAGCATTGGTCCTGGGTCCCAAGTCTAACATTCACTCCTATTTAGTACCTTTTATGAGATAGGTACTTGAGGATATCAAAATGAATATGAGACAATTCCTGTACTCAAAGAGTTCTAGTCAAGTCAAAGGACATGCAAGCAGAGAACTGTAATGCTGTGTCATAGGTGCTATTACGTCAAAGGGTATAGTGTGAGCACATGGGAGGAAGCAAGTCAGTTCCATTTGGGAGACAGAGCAGGAAAAGCTTCAGAGAGGAGGCAGAGCTTGAGCTGACAGGCGTTTGTGAGGTGGGAACTGAGTAACTGAGAGAAAGAGTTGGGGAAGAACATACCAAGTAGGAGAAGCTGCATGAGCAATAACAGGAAAGCACAGAAATGACATACCATGCATAGAGGTAGGAAGTAGAACCATGGTTAGTAGAGGCTGAGAAGGGCAGTGAGGGGAGGATAGGGAGAAGTTGGTGAATGGATACAAAATGACAGCTAGATAGAAGGAATAAGTCCCAGTGTTCTGTAACACTGCAGGGTAACTAGAGTTAACCATAATTTATTGGATATTTTCAAATAGCTAGAAGAGAGGATTTTGAATCCTCCCAACACAAAGAACTGATGAATGTCTGGAGTGATAGATTTGCTAATTACACTGATGTAATCATCACACATTGTGCACATGCATGGAAGTACTACTCTGTATCTTATAAGTGTGTGTGTGTGTGTGTGTGTGTGTGTGTGTGTGTGTGTGTGTGTATATATATATATATATTTTTTTTTTTTTTTGAGATAGAGTCTCTCTCTGTCGCCCAGGCTGGAGTGCGGTGGTAAGATCTTGGCTCACTGCAACTTCCGCCTCTTGGATTCAAGCTATTCTCCTGCCTCAGCTGCCCAAGTAACTGGGATTACAGGCACGCACCACAACATCTGGCTAATTTTCTGTATTTTTAATAGAGACGAGGGTTCCCCATGTTGGTCAGGCTGGTCTTGAACTCCTGAACTCAAGTGATCCACCCGCCTCGGCCTCCCAAAGTGCTGGGATTACAGGCGTCAGCCACCGCGCCCAGCCTGTATCCTATAAATATGTACAAGTTATATGCCAACTAAAAAGAAAAGAAAAAAAAATCGCTTGCTTAGAAAGCTGCAGTTGGTTAGATGTGGCCAATATGCATGATGAGAAGGAGAAAGCAGTGAACGGTAAGACTGGATAGGAGGGCTGGAGCCAGATCATAGGGGACTTTATACGCCTCGCCAAGGAGCTCAGATTTGATCCAGAATGTGATTGGGAACCACTGAAGGGCTTTATGCAACGGAGGGGCATGAAAATATTTTGCTTTTGAAAGATCACTCTGTCTACTCTATGGAGGATGGCATGAAGGGGACCAAAACTGGAGGCAGAAACAATAATTAGGAGGTGAGTGCAACAGGTCATATGAGAAACGACAGGGGCTTGAAGGAGTAGCAGTGGGGATGGTGTGAAGGAGCCCTACAAGATTAGAGGGAGGGGTTTCCAATTATAGCACCAGCTATGACAGGAGACGGAAGAGCCCTCATCTGAAGACAGAGGGGAAGGCTAGGTTGCACAGTATGGAAATGTGACTTCAGGAACTCCTATTAAATCTTGTGTTATTGTCAAATTACATGGAAATGTAAGATTCTTTATCATGATCATCAAGGTGACCTACCATGGTCATGGACTTCGGATGATTTTCTAAGCTTTTTGATCTGTAAGAAATAGAAAGAAAATAATGTAAAAAGGAGGAAGGGGGGACTGAAATAGTGAACATGGTGAGCAAGTTGCCATTATTTAGCATATTTTCCCCTCACTTTCAAGGAGAAATCGTCATTTAAGATAGAACTATGAGACCCTCAGAGATTAAGATCAAGCTTTTTGGTATATAACATGTGAATCATTCTCAGTGCATTTAAATAAAAACAATGAGGCAGGTTGCGGTGGCTCACACCTGTAATCCCAGCACTTTGGGAGGCCCAGGTGGGTGGATCACTTGAGGTCAGGAGTTCAAGACCAGCCCTGCCAACATGGTGAAACCCTGTCTCTACCAAAAATACAAAGATTACCTGGGCATGGTGGCACGCACCTGTAAACCCAGCTACTCACAAGGCTGAGGCGGAGAATTGCTTGAGCCTGGGAGGTGGAGGCTGCAGTTAGCTAAGATCGCGCCATTGCACTGCAGCCTGGGTAGCAGAGTGAGACTTCATCTCAAATAAAAAAATACATAAAATAAAATAACGATGAGGCACACTCTCACTACATTTAACATTCTCATAGATTTACTTAGGATACGATTCTGACTTGAAAACTTAATGAATTTCCTTGAAAGTCATGAAGAACTAGAGGCAAAAATAAAACATCTGAGGCTATTCAGATACTCGCTTTTGTATCCTTATTTCCCACTATTTCCACTACTGAAGACAACTGGCAAAAGCAATGCCATAATTTTGAGAGGCTGCAGAGTAAGCTGAAGCTTGTTTGAGTGCCGAATATACTGAGATCAATTGGGCCAGTCATCACAGGCTTCACAGAGGGTGGTGGCTGAAAGCTGATGTAGGTCTGGAGTTTTCTAACAAATGTCCTCTTGGCTGGAAAGGGCTTTGAGAGCTCTTCTGCCCATCTCACCCCCTGGCTTCTAGGCCAGTCTAAATCTATATAAATGGGCCTAGACTCCATTGTGAAAATAGGCCAAATATAAGTAAACAGAGGTCTGAACTGGTGAAACACATGTAAATTCATATTTAAATTTTCTTATTTTAAAATAAGCCTAGGAAAAAAATTCCATTGTTTCTCTCAGCAACTCAGAGAAGATCCATCTTCAGTATAAATTAGCATTTACTGAGCATCTGTGGTATGCCAAGGATCAGATCACATTTTTTCATTTTGGGGAAAAAGTCATAGTTAACCTATCACTTGCAAATGCTAGTTTAAATCTGCCAAGGGTTTTCTATTTTCTTTCTCTCTTTCTTTTTTTACATCTTTAATGAAATGACCTTGGAAATAACGTACATTTCCATGACACCAACACTATAGTTTTTGGGGTCACGGTAAGATACACAGAATTACATCTGTAATTAATATGACTGCCAACATGTCAAGCAGTGGTTTATCACATGGCAAACAAAATCAAGAAAGCAACCATCAAACAAAAGAGACCCGTAAGTCTGGACAAGGCAAATCCCAGGACAGCATATGAGAACAGCTGCTACTTTAGTGCAGGGTTTCTGGCATAACCAATGATAAGGCTACCAAAGACTGTTCCAATACCAGCAGCAGAACCAGCCACTCCTAATGTTGCAGTGCCTGCACCGTTACATTTCACACCAGTCTCAATGTCTCTGCTGATTGCCCTGGTTTGAAACTCTTTGGTTTAGCTGAGACACACCATTCTGGGCCCCATTAAATACCACAGAGCCCTCTCCAGGTCTGTATGCAACTCTACGCTGTTTAAGATAGAACTTCAGAGCGGGGGTGCAGGCGAGCTTGGCATAGGCAAACATCTTAAACTCTTCGAGGTGGTGCAGCTGGAGGACTTGGGTGACAGGAGACTTGGGCTCCTCTCCCGCTTCCTCTCCTCCTGGGAAGTGGCAGTGGCAGCAGTGGCAGCAGAGGTTGAAGGAATGGGCCTCCGATTTTCAAAACAGTTGTATTTGCAAATGGTATGCTGAACAAACATGACTTATGACAAAACCAAAATGCAACTTTAATTTTGGTCTTCCATTTCTACTTTAAGCTTTTTGCACTCAGAGAAGCTTTTCCTTTGCCCTTCCTTGGGTGAATACACAGCAGGGCCAATGCTTCTTTTGCTTACTCTAAAGTAACAGTCTTCACTGTGAGGCATAAACAGTCTCAATTCATTAGGTATACTGTACTGTCTTAATATTAATCAATCCTTTAATCTTCACTCAAAAGCAGGGCTTCTCCTCCCCATCTATCAGTTCAGGTCTGTAGCTGATGGACACCACTGTCTTTGGAGGCCAGTTTCCCCTTTTTGCTCATTTCCCTCTCCATTTGTAGGAGGAGAGCAAAGGCCACAGGACAGCTCATACTTGGCTGGGTGGCTTCAGAGTCTCAGCTTGGCAATTGGCTAATGCTGATTCTTTCTCTTTGGAGCTTGCCGTTGCTGGGGATCTCTGTCCTGCAGTTCCCAGGACCTACGCGGAGGCATTTCTCCTCTGGGTGATCACTCGATACTCTATCAGCCCCGAAGAATCTGGCATTCTCTTCTAGTTTCTTGCTGCTTCCAGGCCTCCTTGGGCAGAGCTGAAGATAACTCAACTCTCAACTGCATGGTTCTTAAGGGATTTTCACACCCATTCTTTGTCTCAACAAGCTCAGAGAGAAAAGCTATCCAACACAGCCCCTCTGCTGAGCAGCCACAGCTTGCCTTAGTTTTCTTAGGCATGAATGAATCACCAGTCCTCTGTGTTTCCCAACTTTTAGGGAACACGTTTCAAAGCTCTTTAGGTGATTCCCTGGAAACTCCTCATAAGGCTTTAGGTAAAAGAGGTAGAATTACCTGGGAGACAGGAACTCATGACACGACAGATT